>NW_003871092.1:0-70345 GCF_000001405.40 Homo sapiens
CAAGAAACTCACTCTCTGGTGGGCAGCAAGACAATTATGACATTCCTTTGTGCCAAGTACTTGGAGATAAGCATAGAGCACCATGAACTCAGCAGAGCATAGTTGGGGAACAAGGAAAGAATTATTGGAGAATGTGATACTGGCATCGAGTCTTTCAGTATGAGTAGGAATTAACCAGTTACAAACAGGAAAGGAAAAACTTTCTAGGCAAAGGAGACTTGTACAAGTGAATGGGGCTTGAGGGCAAATTGTTCATTAGGTGAGGCATGGGAGAGTTGTTCTTTGAGGAATGAGCCATGAGGTCAGGTCGTAGACAGTGATCTGTCTATGTGGGGTCTTGCATGCTAGACAGAGGTATTTCGGTTTGATGCAGGGCTGACATGAAAGCATCAAGGGGCTGCATGCAAGGAGGTGACAGGAAGAGCACTGGTTTTGGAACATCCCTCTGGCCTTGGTTGGTGTGGAGAACTCAATGGAAGAACATGGTTCTGGATATAGAGAGACTGGGGAGGAAAGGAAGCCAATTGTTTTTGGGTCCACAGGAAGAAAAACAAGTGGGGATCAGGGATCATACTTACAACAAAGAAGGTTGGGTAACTTGGATTTCTTGTGTGAGAATTTTGTTTATGTTCTCCTACTTCCTCCAAGACACTCATAGGATAAATTCTGTATCTTACAAAATCCAAGGACAGAGTCTCTTCAAAGCAGTCACTCCCTACACTTAGTGCACAGAATGGAGGCCTATTCCTTGTCCTCAAGGGGCAGCTTGAGTCATCATGAGCACAGTGTGAGGGTCGACCAGGGCTTCTCAACTTCAGCATTATTGACATTTTGGGCTGGGCGATTCTTTGTTGTAAAGGCTGTCCTGTGAATTATAGGATGTTAAGCAGCATCCCTGGCCTCTATGAACCAGATTCTAGTAGCATCCTTTGAGGGTGATGATCACAAATGTCTCCAGACATTGCCAAACATTGCCTGGGAGTGCAAAAATCACCCCTGTTTGAGAACCACTGGGTCAGACTATGGCAGAGGGAGAAAGTCAAAAGCAAAACTTAATCACATTGGTGTTGGAGTTACTGTCTCATCAAGCCATTGGGATTTATCATTGTCTCCTTCCAGAGTCAAGAGGGGAGTTGGCCAGCCGGATGCTGTGGCTAAAGCCTATAATCCCAGCACTTCGGGAGGCCGAGGTGGGTGAATCACCTGAGGTCAGGAGTTCGAGACCAGCCTGGCCAACGTGGTGAAACCGCATCTCTACTAAAAATACAAAAATTAGCTGGTCATGGTGGCGCACGCCTGTAGTCCCAGCTACTAGGAGGCTGAGGCAGGAGAATTGCTTGAATCTGGAAGGAGGTTGCAGTGAGCCAAGATCACTTCACTGCACTCCAGCCTGGGCGACAGAGAGAGATTCTGTCTAAACACACACACACACACACACACACACACACACACAGGAGTTGGCTAGGGTTTTGAACCTCTGTGCCAAGCACTGGACTAAGCATTTCATATGGATTACAGCAATTCTTTGAAGTAATATGTATTCTCTCCTATTTTTTCACCTATACATAAGATGCAGAATTCGAAGGACAAACAATCCAAGTGCCCATCAATGGACAATTAAATTGTGGTATATTCACCCAATGGGATATTATACTGTGAAGATGACTGGAAAATGGCGACATGCAATAGCATGGATGAATCTTACTAACATAGTGTTGATTGATATAAACAAGCTCCAGAAAACCATACGTGTGTGTATATATTTATGTATATTAATATAATGTGTGTATATATATACACACACTCAAACATATATGTGTGTATTGTTCAAAAACCACAGACACACATATGTATGAGTATACATGCATTTATACACATATGTACACACACAAACACATATATATAAAGGGAGTGATAAAATTCACGATTGTCATGGCTAATAAGTAACATGCAAATGACTAAAACCCAGTTCTTTCCAAAGCCTAGGTTCTGTATGGATCATGATATGTCTCAATGTGGTCACAGGTGTCTTTGTTGATACACTAGGTGTTTTTAGTGCCTTGAACTACAGCAAGACAGATGTTCTTGCTATTAAGAGTTTCCTTTAGGAGAAAAGAAAACAAGAGCAGAATCACTTAGAGAAAAATGGATGTAGAATGGATTGCTTTAAAACTATAAAAGTGGTATAGGATATTGGACTGAAGTTGATGTGATTTTTCAAACATGCTCATGTTCCCAGTTTGATTGACATATTTGGTAAGACTGAAAGTATTAAATACATCCTCTGGGAAGATGAAGAGCTTTGGGGGTAAATATTCAGCAATAAAACACAGTGCATGGATTCCTGCAGATTGAAAGATGCCAACATGAATACAGACAAGAAGGAGGGCAAAAGAAGTGATCCATGGTGTGACATAGAAACCAACTGTGGGGAAAAAGGCATTTCAATGGCAGGGGAGAAGGTTTTCCAGACATTGTTCTGATCAAAAATGTTTCTCTTCTTTTTAAAATGGAGGTGAAGAGGGTGCCAAGGAGAAGGCATTTTGTAGCTGGGGGTTTGCAAAGTACCCTTCAGCGTTTTCAGTATTTTCAATAATTTGTGAAGCAACCAAAGCAAACAAACACCCACAAAAAACTAACCTGAGACATGACAACGCAGTTGATGAAATCGCCATACTTTGAAGACTTAGGTAATTAGCTAACATATTCAACAGAATGAGTTAGTGGCAGAGCCAGAAATCAAGGCCAGCCCCATCTGGCTCCCCACACCGTGATCTTTCCACTCCGTCATGTGCCTCCAGCGTGAACCGGCCAGAACGTTGGCTGGTGTAGAACACCGGACCTGGTTGGTGATGCGGAGCCAGGACAAGCCCGGAGGAAAAGCAGAAGGGCCAAGAAAGTCCCTCACGAATTCCTCTTGGAAGGGATTGGTTTAACATTAACACCACTTTACAGTGATTTTTTTTATTATCACTGCTGGCGTGTTTTTATTTGTATAGAATTCATATGCTATTGATGCCCTAGGGTGGGTTTGATACTTCCTGATGAAATATTTGGTAGTTTAAAAAATTTCCAAAATTAAAAGACTGTGTTTGAGTGTATTGATAAGTAGAGGTAAGTACTCACACCAGTGTGGTCTAGCTGCTGATTACAGTCACTGGAGTGGGCGGAGGATCCCCAGGATGGGGCCTGGGCAACCTGCTCACGAGCCAGTCTGTTGCCATAGGGGTGTCAGCCTGCAGCCACTATATCAGTGTCGCCTTCTCCCTGCCTCCCCAAAGTCAGGGGGTCTAATAGGTGGTTAAGATCAGGGGTTTGGTGGTCAGACAAAGCTAGGTTTGAATTTTGTTTCTACCCCTTTTCATTTGCATAATTTTGGGAACATGATTTAAACTCTATGAGTTTTGCCACTTCTGTTTTCTTCTTTTCTGTTCTAAAAAAATCTTGAGAGGAACCAATTTGGGGGAGATTTTAAGCTTCCTAAAAGGGCCAATGAAGTTTTATATTTTAATCTTAACTTTGTTTTAAACCTGGTTTCTTCTTTATTTATTACTTTTTTTTAGTTTTGCCACTTCTAACATAGTGATGACAATTATACTTACTGAAGTCATTGTGAGGATCCAGTGAAAAATGCAGCCAAGGACTTGATCTAGTAACTATGCAATAAATGAAAGCCATTTCTATTGTTATTATTAGTAATAGTACTAGTAAACAAGTTTCAGGAATGATAAATGGGAAGGTTTTAAAAAGAGGTAGAGGCACTTAAGTGTCCCTGGGTTCCTTGGACTAATTTTCCATTTCCCGTCTTGACATCCTCTCCCCAAACTGGGTCAAGGCTTCATTTCTGATTGAATGGTGCAAAGCTGCATTCCTGGAGGAACAGCAGGGCCACTCTGGCTTGGCAGAGGCCTCCTGATGAAAGGTTAGTGCCAGGAAAGGCCTGCTTCAGTGAGGCTGGAGAGCAACCTGTAAAAGAGACAGCTCATCCAAGAGCAGGAGCAGTGTCAACGAATCCAAATGCAGCGCAGAAAACTCCCGACTCAACAGACACCTTTTCAAAGTTGAAACATCTCCCAGGCTCCTGAAGCCTGCTAATCAGATGTTTGCATGCAAATGAGTAAAAACAATAACAAGGAAAGATGCTGCATGGCGTGCCAACACCCCTAGTGAAGGACTATAAAAGCCCCTCTGTATCGGATGTCTTTCCAATGCAGGTATACTGAGCTTGCAACTTCCCAGCAAGGTCAGCACCAGCACCATGGCAGACGGCTGTTGTCCTGGAAACACCACAGCCATTCCAGCTGTGCCCACCATCACCACATACCCAGTTAAAGGTGGATTTCGACATGCTCTCTGTTTGCCTAGTTCCTGCCACAGCAGAATGTGGCAACTGGTCACATGCCAAGAAAGCTGTCAGCCATCCATTGGTGCCCCAAGTGGCTGTGATCCTGCTTCGTGTCAACCTACCCGCCTTCCAGCAACGTCTTGTGTGGGTTTTGTTTGCCAACCTATGTGCTCCCACGCAGCCTGCTATCAGTCTGGCACTGGTCAGTCTCCTTGTCTGGTTAGCTCATGTCAGCCATCCTGCTCGGAATCTACTTGTTGTCAGGAAAAGTGCTGCGATGCCAGTCCCTGCCAGCAAAGCTCCTGCCAGGAATCTGTCTGCATGTCTGGATCATGTCAGGCAGCTTGTGGCCAATCAGTCTGCTGTGATGCTGGATCCTGCCAGCCATCCTGCTCTGAAGTGACCTCCTGTCCGGAAACTTCTTGCCTACCAACCATCTGTACAGCTAGTCCATGCCAACCAACTTGGTGCCAAGGAAGTTCATGTCAACCCGTCAGTGGTGAAGGCCAGCCCTGTAAATCAACTTATTATCAACCCATCTGCTATATTTTCAAGCCTTGCCAATCAGCCCTCTACATGCCTGTTCCCTGCCAGCCATCGACTTGTGTGTTCAGTTCTTGCAATACTACTTGCTGTGTGCCTTCCCATTGCCAGCCACCTCACTGCCAACTGGTTCCTTCCACATGCTTCATCTACCAGCCAGTGGCTAACTGCCAGGCCCCTTGTTCCACAAAGAACTGTTGCAAACCAGCTTCTTGTGACACTGTGATTTCTGGCCAACCAACTTGTGATGGACCCCCTTCCTATAACCAGAGTGGCTGCAAATCAGCTTGCTGTGTGACTGGTTTAGGCACATCACCCAGTAGTGGCTCCAATTGCTTGCCGACTTCATGCCAACCCAGCTGTGAGTCCAGCTTCTGCAAGGCAACACTTTGTTAATGGAGCCCTCTTCACACCTCCTCTGAGGGTCTGCGGCTGTCTATAAATGCATAGCCATCCCTGGGTGCCTGCCTCCCACCGAGTACAAATGCTGCCTGCTTTCTAACTTTACCCTGATTCCACCTTCACATTCTCTCCAGGTGCTGACCAGGGAACTTGTCCAGGCACGAAGAGATCCTTCTTAACCGAGAATAACCTTTCAGCAACCATGGACTACCACACTGCTGCTTGCATTTCCTGATGATGTCAATTCATTTCACTTTAGCAAACCCTCTCTTGTTTCTCTTTCTTGATGCTGCCTGGTCTTTCAGAAGACCTCGTTGCTGCCAGCTGCTAATAAAAATGTGACTGGTTAAGTATAATAAATAAGACTCCTGGAGTGCTTTCATTCCTACACACACCTCTATGTAGATTTCCTTCAGGTCACATTTGAACACAATGAGCCTGAGTCATCTAAGTCAGTGGGTCTGCATTGGTCTGCAAGGGTAGCTAGTGTCTAGGATTATAGATTCTCCAGCTGGACGAGAGTAAGGGCAAACAGTTCACTGGCTTCCAAAATTTTCACCACCAAGAGTTCTTTTGAGCTGAGTGGGCTCATTTTCCCTATAGTGAGTAGACAGGAAGCCAACAACAAAAATGGTTCTGGAAAGCCACAGATGAAAACAAACATGAGGTATTGGCCATAGAGAATAGCTTAGGGTTAATTCATTTAAGATTCTTTTTTTTTTTTTTTTTTTTTTGACACAGAGTTTCACTCTTGTTGCCCAGGCTGGAGTGCAAGAGCGTGATCTCGGCCCACCGCAACCTCTGCCTCCTGGGTTCAAGCGATTCTCCTGCCTGGGACATTGTGTCAGCTGGCTAAGGAGAAATATTCATAGGATCCCTTTGTATTATCATAGAGCAGGCAATGAAGGGTGTACCTGTAGGTGAGCAGCAATAATTTGGTAACTAGCAAACAAATCTTCATAGTTCACATTTTTCTGTCACTGAGGTATACTTTGGATCTGTAGAGAGACTATTAATTGTTTTATCCCCAGTTTTAGAATCACAAGGGTCGTAGTCTTGAAAGAAGGTTCTGGGTCAAAAAAGAGGGGGATGGCCATAAGAACAAAATCTAGCACCTGAACATGGAAGGGTCCAGGTGGAGAATTTCTACCTGCAGTTGAATTGACTAATGTCAGCACTGAATCTCTTCTTGAATTGAATTCAAGAAGCATTGAATGCTTCTTGAATCCCTAGATATAGGTGGGCTTATCATTTCAACAGTTCAAGTAGCTAGATCTGTTCTAGTCTTCTAATGGGTATTTTCCTTTTATTTCTAACTATGTATGGGTATTGCCTTCAGTACCTTTTCTACCCACACACATGCACACACATATAGATGCATACAGGTACACACACACACACTCAGATACAGATGCACACACATACATGCACACACACACTCACACACAGACACACACCACATTTCAACTTAGTTGTATGGCTGCACTTAAGGTTGATTTATTTGCTCCATGATTTACAATTGCCTATAAAACATGCCTAGCCAAACCTGAGTAAAGTGCACTAAAAGACTGATTTTAGCATTTTAGCCTTCCCCATCTAACTGGCCCAGCTGATATCACCCTCTTGTTCCCCCCTGCCCTTTGGATGACTCCTGTCCCAGTTTAAATGGTTGGACTTCTGTCCTTATGTCTTTATGACCAGTGCCCTGACTTTCTCCCAGATCGGGCCTTCTCCCCAACCCGAGGAGGGACCTTAGGATCTGCTCATAAACTTACCTGATGGTCACTGGCTGAGCATCTCTCGTTCCAGTCCTCTCAATCACTGTGATTTGAGGTTCTCAGTAGTTAAATAGGTCTTGCCAATATGTGTGGGACATTCTAAAAAAAACCTTACAGATGAAGGAAAACTAACCAAAAGAGCCCGGGAATAATGAGACATCAAGGTCACTGAAGGACAAGAGTATGGGCATTTGCCTTATGACCTGCTTGGAAATGCAACTCAGAGGAGGACTTCTATGGTGGTGGTGAGGAAAAAGCACTAGACCACGGCTCAAAGGAGAAGGCTTGAGTTGCATCCTGGCCACTTATTTACTGTATGACCTTATGTAACACCAGGGTGCTAATCTATAACACGAAGAAGTTAGTTTATTCTACCTCTGAGGGCTCATTTATTTACATGATCTTGTGAGTTTGTTGATGTGTTCTGTGAGGTTCTAAATATTCTCAAACTGATTAAAACTGAAGCCTCTTGTACTTCTGGAACTGATGGGGAAGAGATTTGGAAGGATATCTTTTTAGTATGCCATAAAATAAGAAATGTGATTGACTAATTTTGAGGTCCAAAAAGAAAATTAGAAACAAAAAGGAGGAGGGGGAGAGAGGGAACTTGATATCACAAAGGAAGTGCCATGGATGGAATGTCTCCCAGAAACGATCTTTGGGTGGACACCCTGTGCAAAACCTCTCTTGAGACATGAATGGAACTTCACGGAAGATGAATCCTTAAGTAAGCCTGTGAAAGAATTCTCAAAAGTATTATTTCTCAGAGATTTCAAAATTAAAATAACAATTACATATTACTTTACAGGTATTAGATTTGCAAAAAATAGAGTGCTATATCAGAGCCCAGCAAACTTATCCTGTAAAGGGACAGATATACATAATTTAGGCTTTGTGGGGCACATGGTCTCTGTTGCAACTACTGAATTTTGCCGTTGTATCATTGCATTATATCATTACATTTATAGACAATATGTAAGCAAATGAGTGTGGCTGGGTTCTAATAAAACTTTGTAAAAACAGGCTGGGGCTCTGTTTGGCTCATGGTGAGACGGGAAGAGTTTCCTTGTTCCCCTCGCAGGGCGTGCAACGGGGGCGTGGCTCGCTTCTTCCGTGCCCCACTGCTCACACTTCTAGGGGAAGCATGCAGATGGGCAGGCTTTGGGGCTCTGACCCCACGGCAGCGTCTAGGGGTGAGTGTTTACAGCTGAAGCCCCAGTGGGTGTGTGTACAGGGTACTCTTTCAGTTTAGCCTCCGTCCATAGATGGGTTGTGTTAGTTAGCTCAATTAGACCCCCTGCCTTATGGCAAGGACAGAGGGCTTTCTGTATCCCAGGGTTTCCTGCCTTGTTGTACTGGAGGAATCGGATCACACATGGGCTTGGAGAATGAGTGCAAGGTTTTATTGAGTGGAAGTAGCTCTCAGCAGACGGGGGAGCCAGAAGGGGGATGGAGTGGGAAGGTGGTTTTCCCCTGGAGTTGGGCTGCTCAGCCAGGCTTCCCTCATCCCGCCCCCGACAAACTCACTATGGTTCCCCCTGTCGATGGCCTGCCGTCCTGCTGGCGTCTGCCGCTGCCTGTCGGTGTGCTCTTCTGACGATTTGCTCCTCTCGGATGTCCAGCTGCCTGTGTCTCTTCCCACTAGGCACAGGATGAGGGCGTGGTGGGCCAGGGTGGTTTTGGGAAATGCAACGTTTGGGCACAAAAACAGAAATGCCTGTTCTTATTCATTCAGAAATGCCTGTTCCCTAGGTCCGTGGGCACAGTAGGGGTGGAGTCCTCACCAGGGACCCACCCTTCTTCTCCCAGCACTTCCCTGCCCCGCTCCTGTATCAATGGGCCATAGTTTTCTGACTCCTGTGCTATATAATGCCAAGTGTTGGTGGGAGTGGGAATTTACAGGAATTTTCCTGCATTGCTAATGGGATTGTTGGCTTGTTTGGCCACTCTAAAGAACAATCTGAAACTATTTATGTAAATTATGTAAGTGATGCTCCATGATCCAGCAATCCAACACCTGAGTGTGTATTTCCAGAAAATTCTCACACAGGTCCTCAGGGAGGTGTACATGTGGATGTTCACTATAGCATCCCTATGGTGGCAAAAACGTCAAAGGAAAGCTGGTGTCCAACACTGTGAAAGTGGGTAGGCAACTCGGTGATCCTCTTCATGGAGTATCATGCAGGAATTAATAACAATAGATTACATATACACACTGTAGCATAGATGGATTTTTAAAAATTCTGCTTAATGACAAACCAGAATGAGATATATTACTGATTGCTATTTACATAAAGTATATGTGTACTGAACAATACTTTATAAGGATATATACAAATCCATTAAATAAATTTAATATGCGTTGAATATACATTAGACAGAATAGCATAGTGGCCTATAGGAAACGAAGGGAGTAAAGGGAGAAGAAGAAGTAAATTAACTGATTTATAAGTACATAAAAAATAAATAAGAGAGGGACCATGCAAAAATCACAGATGATAATAATTCAATTATTTATAACTAAGGTCCCAAAAGAAAATTTTTTTAAAAAGGAAGAAGGAGAGAGAGGGAACTTGACACCACAAAGGAATTACCGTGGATAGAATGTCTTCCAGAAATGACATTTTGATGGACACCCTGTTCAAATTCTCTCTCCCACACCTTCCATGGAGATTTCCATCATGCTAGAGGAAGGATATGGCTCTGGGAAGCAGATGCACCTCATCTCATATTGCATAGACTTTTCAAGAATGCTTCTTACAAGAGGATGCAGACATTGTTTAGGAGTTATATTAACTTTAATAATTTGTTGATTGATACCAGGATTCTCAAGACACCTGAAACTTCAAATTTCATTTTATAATAGTTTTTTTTTTACCCATCTACCTCATAGTTTTTGTTGTCCCAATGACAGATTTCTCAGTTTTATAGGCAAGTGTGTTTACCGGCCATCTGCCAACATGCAAACTTCACATTCTAAACATGTCAAATGTGAAACATGAGTTGAGAAGCTTTGTGTCTTTAACCATGCTTGGCAACAGTTTAAATGACATAGCATGTATTTTCTCCTTTTAAGTTTGCTAGGGCTTGTCCATAAAACATCTGAATCTCCTCTAATAAGCAATGTTCTGCCAAGCCTGAACATGTAACTAAATCTTTCTTTACACTTATTTTCAGGGCAGGGAACAATTTTAAAAATACAAGAAAATTTTGAGAAAAATATTACAAGAACCTGCCTCTCCAAATTGGCATTTTCTTACTTCTGCTTTGGATCTTTAAAAAATTAATTGAAATGAAACATTATGCTTGTAAAGTTGAAGTCCCCTCTTCAGTCTTATTTCCCTTTTTTCATCTCAGATATAACTTCTATCATAATTTTATTGTATATTCTCCCAGTCACTGTTAATTTATATAAAAATATAAACATCTTATATTTATAAAGTATTTAAACAAGACCTAGTATGAAGGATTGCAGATTTAAGAATTTATGTATGTGATGTAAAATTATGCAATTTACTTTTTAAATTTCATTATTGCTTTTAAGAACTATGCATTTTGATACATGGACCTGTTTCATTATATTAGTTACCTATTGTTGCATAACAATTATCTCAAAACTTAGTGGCTGAAACAACAAAGTTTATTATCTCACTGTTTCTGTGGGTTAGAAAACTAGATGTGGCTTAGCTAGATACCTACAGCTTGGGGTCTTTTATGAGATGGTTGGTGAGGTGTTGGCTGGGGCTGCGGTCATCTCATGGCTCAACTAGAGAAGGATTCACTTCCAAGCTCATTTATGTGGACACTGGAAGGCCACTGGTTCACACCAACTGTTAGCCAGAGATATCAGTTCATTGCCTCATGGGCTTCTCCATACTCTGGCTGATTGTCCTCATAGCACAGCATCTGGATTCTCCCAGAGGAAGCGAAGAGAAAGGTGAGACTTGAACAATGAGAACACTTGGACACAGGAAGGGGAACATCACATACCAGGGCCTGGTATGTTGGGGGAGGGATAGCGTTAGGAGATATACCTAATGTAAATGACGAGTTAATGGGTGCAGCACACCAACATGGCACGTGTATACATATGTAACAAACCTGCGCATTGTGCACATGTACCCTAGAACTTAAAGTATAAAAAATAGATATATAATATATAAAATATATATTATAAAATATATATATATAAAGTATAAAATATATATATATATAATATATATATATAAGTCACAGTCCCTTTACAGCCTAACCTAATGATATGGTTTGACTGTGTCCTCACCCAAATCTCATCTTGAAGTGTAACTCCCACAATTCCCATGTGTCATGGGAGGAAACCAGTGGGAGGTGATTGAATTATGAGGGTGGGTCTTTCCTACACTGTTCTCGTGATAGTGAATGAGTCTCACGAGATCTGATGTTTTTAAAAAGGGGAGTTTCCCTGCACTAGCTCTCTTCTCTTGTCTGCCACCATGTGAGACATGCCTCTGTTCAAGCTGGCAATTTGTTTGTATATATAATTTTTAGAAAAAATTTGTGGTTCTCCTGTGAATCTTCTTGGAGTTTACTCTATTAGACAAAAGTTACTACCACAGATCATCTAGAGATAAACACTTGGACCCCTGATGTAATAGCTGAGGACAATGCCCTTAAGTTTCCTAGAAGCCTCTTTGACTTATCCGAGAGTGTCTGTGAGGTTCTCACTTAATATTTTTTTTTTTTTTTTTTTTTTTGGAGACAGAGCCTCACTCTGTCACCCAGGCTGGAGTGCAGTGGCGGCGACCTTGGCTCACTGCAACCTCCGCCTCCCTGTTTCAAGCGATTCTCCTGCCTCAGCCTCCCAAGTAGCTGGGACTACAGGCGCCCACAACCATGCCCGGCTAATTTTTGTATTTTTTAGTAGATAGGGGATTTCACCATATTGGCCAGGCTGGTCTCGATCTCCTGACCTTGTGATCACCCGCCTCGGCCTCTCAAAGTGCTGGGATTACAGGCTTGAGCCATTGCGCCCGGCCTCGCTTAATATCTTTAGAGGGGCTTTTGTATGTAGCTGTTCCCCATTTTTCATTTTTGAAATGAAAATAATTTTCTAATTTTTGACTTTCTCAGATCTTAAAAAATCTTATAGCCACACGTTAGCTTTATCTTTAGGGCATGATTTCTGGTATATCTGAATTTCTCTGGCATTGTCTTCAATTTGATATTTGCTTAGAAGTCATTTTTAAACTTTAGCATTATTTGCCATTGGAGAGGCTGAGAATTTTCAAAACAAACAATACTGTCCAGGATCCTTTTTTTTTTTTTTAATCAGCCCTTCTCTCAATTTATCTTTCTCTTCTCACATTTTATTATAGTCAGCAAGAAGAAATCAAAGAACACCTTCAAGACTTTAGTTGGAAATTTCCTTAGTTAGATCACTCAGTTCACCAGGAACCTTTCTACTTTTGCCTCAAAACTGCGGATGACAGAGTACTTTCTGCCACTGCATAGCAAGAATTTTCCTTTCTCCAGTTTCCAATATGCTCGTGGATTCTGTGGGTCAGGAATTCAGCCAGTGCACAGCAGAGAGAGCTTGTCTACAATCTGAGATGTCTTGGACTTTGGTTGGAAATATCCAAATGGCTATGGGCTAGAATCACCTGGAGGCTTTCTATGTAGGGACAAGTTTCCCCAAATCTAAGAATACAATTTTTTTTCCTCTGGGGTTTTAAATATATCAGTTTTGCAACAATTCCTGTCTTTGGGAAGGAAACATCCTTTCCTTATTACTGTATATGGTATTCCCTTTAGCTCTGAAGGATGGTTTGGCAGAAAGTTGTTAACTAAGTGTAATAAATCTTATGGAAAGAAATACTCTGGTTAGTTTCTCATCTGGTTCCATTTTTGTGATAATGAGGATCAGGAAATTATTCTGGTAATGAGTGACTGGGATGGAGGAAGGGGAAAACTCATGGCTGGTGAAGAGGTCAACGAACTGAGAGATCAAGATGTTTGATGAATTATCCTTATGGAAGTTGAATTCACTAAAAAAAAGAGACAGGCCTAGAGGAGAAAAGAAAGACAGTGACCCACAAATAAATGGGTGGAATTGCCTGGAAACTGATGAAAACAGCCAATGGGAAGGATAATGGCAGTTAAATCGGGTGGTGTAAACTTTGAAAACAACTAAAGTCAAGAATGGCTTTGGTAATGGCAAAACCACTCTGAGATGTAGGTTTCCTACTCTGACGGGTACCTTGGTTAAAATTCAGGACAATGGTCAGAACTTGTATGATCATTGCTTTCATAAGTCTTTTTTTTTTTTTGAGACAGAGTCTCACTCTGTCGCCCAGGCTGAAGTGCAATGGTGCAATCCTGGCTCGCTGCAGCCTCCGCCTCCTGGGTTCAAGCAATTCTGCAGCCGCAGCCTCAGCCTCCCAAGTAGCTGGGATTACAAGTGCATGCCACCACAACTGGCTAATTTTTGTATTTTTACTAGAGATGGGGTTTCACCATGTTAGCCAAGGCTGGTCTCAAACTCCTGACCTCAAGTGGTCTGCCTGCCTCAGCCTCCCAAAGTGCTGGGTTACAGGCATGAGACATGCCTTCATAAATCCTTAATGACTTAAGGAATCTTGCATATCAGTTGATCAAATTACCCATTTATTTACGCAAGCATTCTGTGACATCCCTATTAGTTTTTTTGTCTGTGTTTTCCTGTCTCCAGAGAATAGGGCACACGACTTCCCAAGAAAACATGTGTCTCTCTAGTCAGCTCCAGGAATGACTTTTCACTTATTTTTGCTTAAATCGGTCGTCTTGTTTCTTGACCCTATAAGGCCACACAGGACACATCTAATCCATCTTCTACATTAAGTCTTTCCCTTCCCCCAAAGATCTTCTTTTCTCTGGGATAATTATCACTGGATACCATCATTTTTCATTATGTGACTTGAATTCCAGTCCTATTCTCAGGATAGTTGCTCTACTTGCAAGACTTTCCAATTATTCAATATTCCTTTAAAAGGGGCATGATCAGAGCCTAACTCACGATCAAATTATCTGTTAGCCAGTACAGGATAGGGAATAGCCATCCTCTTCTTTTGAGTATAGTCCATATTTTCCAGGTCATGTCTGCCTGATGATATAATTAAATACTATTCTTTTGTTTGTTTGTTTGTTTTTGAGACAGAGTCTCGCTCTGTCACCCATGCTGGAGTGCAGTGGCGCGATCACCACTCACTGCAAATTCCGCCTCCGGGGTTCACGCCATTCTCTTGCCTCAGCCTCCTGAGTAGCTGGGACTACAGGTGCCCACCACCACGGCCGGCTAATTTTTTGTATTTTTAGTAGAGACGGGGTTTCTCCGTGTTAGCCAGGATGGTCTTGATCTCCTGAACTCATGATCTGCCTGCCTCAGCCTCCAAAGTGCTGGGATTACAGAGATCTCCGCCCTGAAGAGGAAATGTGCTGGTATTTGAATGTCTAAGTCCCTATTTAGTGAGGTGGCATTTGTCCTCCTGTAGGGGCAACCTCTACCACTGCTCAAAGGTTTTCTGGTCCCTGTATTGATATCCTTTGTTCCTGCTTTTTTTTTTGACCGAATTTTGCTCTTGTCACCCAGCCTGGAGTGCAATGGTGCAATCTCGGCTAATTGCAACCTCCCCCTCCCAGGTTCAAGCGATTCTCCTGCCTCAGCCTCCTGAGTAGCTGGGACTACAGGCATCCACCACCATGCCCAGCTAATTTTTGTATTTGCAGTAGAGACAGGGTTTCACCATGTTGGCCAGGCTGGTCTCGAACTTCTGACCTCAGGTGATCCTGCCCGCCTCAGCCTTCCAAAGTGCTGGGATTACAGGCATGAACCCCTGCGCCCAGTATGTTCCTGCTTTTGAATGCCTGTTTCTAAGTTCAGATTTCTACTCCAGCCATAATGATGTCCTGACCGCCACTGCCTGGAAGAGGGAATTCTTCAGGTTCAGGTTTAATATTAGCTTCAGAAGTATGGCTTGTTAGTTTGAGTCCAAGTTAACAATACTGTCTCCTCCTAGCAATCTCTAGATGCTCTGAGCATCTGCAGAAAAGACTGTCCAGTGAGTCTGCCCCAAACTGTCTGCCTATCTGCCCCTCTAGCCCATCTCTTATCCAGGGCCTCAGTTTGAATTTAGGATCAAGTTCTTATTATTATTGGATAAAGTAAGACAGTGACATTAGAATAAAACATGTCTTGGCAAATTGTCACTGAATTGAATCCACCTTTCTGCAATGTTTTCATAAGCTACGATGAGAGTCCTTTTGAAATGCTCTGCTGAAATCCAGATTCATTTTGTACTGAATTTCGTTTATCAATGAATCTAGCAAAAATAAAAAGTTATTTTACATGGGTTGGTCTAAGTGGTACCATGTTTTATTTTTTGGCATTCACAAAAGATCATCTGAACAATTTATTCTAAAGTCTTTTTCTAAGATAAGATCAAGCTGATTGGTGTATGGTTTGCAGAAACTTGAAAAATTGGGATGGTCTTTGCTTGTCTCAACACGTTGAGTAGCTCTTGTTCTCTAACATTCCTCAAATATCAATATGTGGTTTATTTTCAGTCTCTAACTGCTCTGGGACCTAATGTGCACAGCATGCAGTGACATGAATTTATTTAGAGAATCTAAGCATTTGCAAAATTGATTTGTCCTTATCAATGTTTAGTCATTTTTCCAATTCAATTATTTCCTATTGTCTGAAAAGATAGACACCAAATAAGAGTGTTTCTAGCATAACCTTCACAGTCTTTGTGCCATACGCCACCGGGAGATCTCAGATCTTCTCTCAATCCCTGCTCTCAGCCTGAAATAAGGAGGCCAGGTTCCTTTTATAAGCCCAGATTTTCCTTGCCAGATACTGACATATTTACAGTTCATGGATCATGAATTGGATGAAGGGTGGATACAAATGCATCATACAAAAAATGCAACATCACACTGAGGAGCTTACTTCATATTAAACTTCTTTTAGTGCTTATAGCTCTCTTTATTCAGATCAAAAGGAATTAAAATCTGTCGCTCTTGTTGCAAGTTTTCTCATTTCAGTTCAGAAGGAAACATTTCAATTTTTCTTTTGTTATAAAAGTAACCTGTGCTTGAGGGGGAAAACAATGTAGGAAAAAAAATGGGAAGTCCTAGTTTCCAAACACCCCATCCACATCCCCCTCCCCAGGGACAAACTACTGGTTACTGCTTATTATGCCCTAATCTTGGTTTTCTCTTTCTCTTTACAGATGGTTGGTTACTATTCTCATTAGAAAGACTGAAGAAAAGGCTGGGCACAGTGGCTCATGCTTGTAATTCCAGCATTTTGGGAGGCTGAGGCGGGTGGATCATCTAAGGTCAGGAGTTCAAGACCAGCCTGGCCCATGTGGTGAAACCCTGTCTCTACTAAAGATGAAAGAAAGAAAGAAGGAAAGAAAGGAAGAAAGAAAGAAAGAAAGAAAAGAAAGAAAAGAAAGAAAGAAAGAAACCGGGCATGGTGGGCACCTGTAATCCCAGCTACTTGGGAGGCTGAGGCAGGAGAATTGCTTGAACCCAGGAGGTGGAGGTTGCGGTGAGCCGAGATCGCACCATTGCACTCCAGCCTGGGCAACAGGAGCGAAACTCTGTCTATTAAAAAAAAAAAAAAGACTAAAGAGAAATAAGAGGAGCGTTGATTTCTATATCGCAAGCACAGTACAAGATTATCAGTACAAAGCAATAGGCCTTTTCCTGTTTAATGGCATACTCACTTTGTTTACAACCATTTCATTAAAAAACACATTTTCACCATGTTTTCTGCTGTTTTGTTTTTGTTTTTGTTTTTGTTTTTTTCCAACCAAAAAGCATCTGGAGCTTCTTTCATTCTTCTCATGGACTCCTACCATCCCTGTTTAATGACTTGTTCACGAATCTTTCTTCCTAAGGCTAAACCTTTGAAGTTGTAGCTATGCAGTTATTTTTGATCTACAAAAATGGAAACTTCATATGGCTCAAACTCGTATTCTCTACTTGGCCTTTATTTTTTATTTTTTTAAGTAGAGATGGGGTTTCACCACGTTGGCCAGGCTGGTTTTGAACTCCTGACCTCAAGTGATCTGCCTGCCTTGCCCTCCCAAAGTGCTGGGATTACAGGCACAAGCCACCACGCCTGACCTACTTGGACTTTTTCAATCAAATCCCAGCCCATAGCTCCTTATAACTCCCTCTGGCATCTTTATAGTATACTGAAAAGTATTTTAAAAGGCCTTAGGATACTAATCACACACAGTAAAGTATTTTAAAAAGAATTAAGTCAACATAAGCCATCTTTTCTCCCAGTGTCTATTAGAATGAAATTTCCCCTGTCATTTTTCTGATTGTTTCCCTATCTATTTAATAACTAGGGTACACGTCAGACTTGTCCTGAGAAGTTCCATTCCTGAGGAAAAGCTATGCATGATTGTCTTATTTTGGAAATCTCAAATGTGGGATTCGTGTAATGGGCTTTGATAAAGGATGTTAAGGGGCAAAGTTAAGGCAGCCTTGTAAAGGTCAACTTGGAAACTAAATATCAGTAGGGAGTTATCTCAGTGGCTATAAGTTAAGACAACAGAATAAAAACTGATATTTGAGACATAAAAATGGCCCAAAAGATGGGTGTAATGAGCCCATGAGTCCCCAGTATAACATGAAACTTGCCCATCTGCGTGGTGTACGGCATTTGGTGTTACTCATGTTGGTCTCATCAGTTTGCCCACCTAAATAAATTCATCTTACAACAATAGTTCTATAACATCTAGAAGTAAGTTCCCTCCTGTAGCCCACTTCATCAGAAACTTCTTGGCAACACCTGAACCTAGCTGGAACTGGAAAAATATTTGATGGTAGTGATTTCCTGATAAATAGTCTAGAGCTGTTGCAAACAAAATCCAAGGATTGCTCTTTTTAGACACAGTCTTGCTCTGTCGCACAGTCTAGAGTGCAGTGGCTTGATGTTGGCTCACTGCAACCTCCGCCTCCTGGGTTCAAGCGATTCTCCTGCCTCAGCCTGCCGAGTAGCTGAGATTGCAGGTGCGTGTCACCACACCCCACTAATTTTTTGCATTTTTAATAGAGACGGGGTTTCACCACATTTGTCAGGCTGGTTTTGAACTCCTGACCTCAAGTGATCCACCCACCTTGGCCTCCCAAAGTGCTAGGATTACAGGTGTGAGCCACTGTGCCTGGTTAAAGGGTTGCTGTTTAAATGAACTATTTGCTTATGCTCTAAGTCAGCATGGATGGGATCCATAGATCTTTCCCGAAGTCTTAAAAATTAGTCTCTTGACTTAGTGGCATGGGAATAGATGTGAAAGAACTTTGTTTTTTTAAAAATATTAATTAATTAATTAATTTTTGAGACAAAGTCTTGCTCTTTCACCCAGGCTGGAGTGCAGTGGCGCGATCTCAGCTCACTGCAAACTCTGCCTCCCAGGTTCAAGTGATTTTCGTGCCTAAGCCTCCCGAGTAGCTGGGAATACAGGTGCACACTGCCAAGCCTGGTTAATTTTGTATTTTTAGTAGAGACGGGTTTTGCCATGTTGGCCAGGCTGGTCTCGAACTCCTGACCTCAAATGATCCTCCTGCCTTGGCCTTTCAAAGTGCTGGGATTACAGGTGTGAGCCACTGTGCCAGGCCAAAATGGGAAAAAGCTTTGTAAAATATAAAATATCCTTTAAATTTAAGAGCTTATGAAGGATATACTGCACACATAATCTAGGTCACGAAAGGATATGCAAGATGAGTATAGATTACTAGGTGATAAATTGGGAAATGCCTTAGTTGCAAAGAAGATAATTCAAATTATAAATACAATGAAGAAATGTGCAGGAAAGATATTTTAGAGGTGGCAAAATTAACCAGTTATTAAGACAATCAGCAGAGGTGGTGGACAGGGATGGTGAATCTCATGCATGTCCAATTTCTAGTGATACTCATTAGTTAAATCCAAACCCTCACTAGTGGCCATGAAGTCCAATGTTTCTTTAAAAAGGCAGTAAGGACCAATGAAGATTTTTTTCCTTGTCCATAGTTTAGTCAAGCTTCTGAACCTTCTCATAGGCCCATGGGTGCACTTCCTTGTAAAATCCAGTTTTGTAAAATTTTAGCAAAGAGCCCTGCTAAATAGGTTTAGCAAGAACTCCCCATCCTCGATATCTGATCACCCTTAATAGCGGATCAGATCTCTTATCTGCCACCATTCTCCAAGTGATGTTTGATCACCCTCGCCTGTCTTCAGCAAGAGCACTTTTAGGTCAGTTTAGCCAAAATTTCCCTACTGGTGATGCTTCCTCTTAGTAATTTTCCATCCACTGACCGCCACCCTGCTCCTTGGCTGTAAATTCTCACTTGCCCATGCTATGTTAGGAGATGAGTCCAATCTCTGTCTCCCAATGCAAGACCCTGTTATGGTGGTTCCTTTGTTTACTGCAGTGTTCCTGAATAAAGTCTCCCTTACCAGGCTTTCACAAGTGCCATTGAATAATTTTTTTTTTAACAAGACTATGATGAATTTTTAAAAGCCAAATCCCTATTGTTTCCCTGATAACATATTATTTCACCAGAAAAATAAATATAAGAAATTCATTTTAAATGTATCTCAAACCATCAGAAAAGGGCTTAACCTTATTGAACTGAGCTACTAGGAAAGAGGAGGAAAGAAGAAGAGTGGAAACCATCGGTCATTCAGTGCAAGCATGTCCGGCTGTCACCAATAAGCTAGCTGTACCTGTCTTAGGACAGAGCTGTATGAAGGAAGTTAATATTTACCAGTTAAAAGAAAAACGAAAGAGGAAAACAGTGATTCAGCACTAAACAGAATTAAGAGTCAGTCATTTGAAATATAGAAAGCCCTAGAAATACCATTACAAACAACAATAATAACAATAAGCCCCCTATTGTATAATAACAAATTGTGCAATAGGTAAAAGATAGATTGTTTAAAGTCTTCTTGGATGTTGTAAGTTATTTTCAGGGCCAAAAAGGAAAAAACTGCTCTTGCAATTCAAGTTCGGGTATATATTTTGCAAATGCTGGCATGCTCAATGCTTCCTGAAGGAGAGGGAGCTATCCTTATTTTGATCAGTTCAGATTGAATGAAAATTTTCTCTGATGCTAATATAGATCCAGTCTCCCAAATTTTAGGTTCCCCACGATTCTTCAAACATCACCAATAAGAGTTCAATGTTCTTGGCTGGGTGTGGTGGCTCACACCTGTAATCCCAGCACTTTGGGAGGCCAGTGTGGGCCTCCCAAAGATCATGAGGTCAAGAGATCGAGACCATCCTGGCCAACATGGTGAAACATGGGCATGGTGGCGGGCACCTGTAATCCCAGCTACTCAGGAGGCTGAAGCAGGAGAATTGCTTGAACCTTGGAGGTGGAGGTTGCAGTGAGCCGAGATCGCACCACTGCACTCCAGCCTGGTGACAGAGCGAGACTTATCTCAAAAAAAAAAAAAAAAAAAAAAAAAAAAAAGAGCTCAGTGTTCAATGTTCTCACTTGGAAGATGTCTCAGTATCTGAGAAGTAGTTTGTCCACGGTCAGGAAACTAGAACTCATTTAAAGAAACTAAATTCTCTCCTATGCTGTTTACATCCATTTGGGGCCACTATTCCCCTTTCCAGCTGTCCTTCTACACAATTCTGTTCAAATATTATTCTTTGAATATATAAGTAATATTAAGAAGTCCTCCTTTCTTATGTCTTAATCATAATTTTACCAGTAGATCTTAAATGAAATCCCTTATATTCTTATCATCACCTATTTGTGTAGGTACAGTTCTTTCATAGTGGACTTAATGTTGGTCTTAGTGAGTGGTTTGTTTTATATATTAAGTATACTTATGCTTTGCTATATTTATTACTATTGGGCACTTAAAGGGGAATGCTTGGAAAAAACTGGGTTGATTTTGCTAGGAATCAACCTTAAAGGGCAGAAGATTATTGAAATTTGACCCTTTCCATCTTAATCTTTGTTCCAAGCAGGAATCTGACTGGGGCTGAAGAGCTTGGTTTTTACCTTGTCCTTATCTTGCATAAGGAATGCTTTTGTTTAGAAAGAGGATCTGAAGGTTTTCTGGTCTGGGACAGGCCACAGCCACTGTGGAACGCAGTGATAATAAAGGATGGATAAGGCTTGCATGCTTTCCTTAGCGAGTTTATACAATCTATCCAATTTAGGCTTTCTTGATTTATATTCTAGAATAATGTCTATATTTGTTTATTTAAGTGGGAATCATTTTAATTTTATTTCTGATTTTTAATCCTATATTTTCTGCATTAGTTATCTCCAAACCTACAATTTAATTAAATTTATCCCAGCGTTTGATCTTAGAATATAACATTCATTCTTGTTTCCTGCATATTCACAAGAAAAATCCCAAGCTGTGTTATCTGAACCATCTGTCAGAAGAGGTTCCAAGGAGAAGGTGTCCAGTGATGAAAGAGCCGAGTTTTCCCTATTTTGAATGTAGGAAACACAGGCTGGTTTTTCTGAAATTAATCCCTGTTCTTTCCATAACAATATTACATTGCACTAGAGGGCCTAACCTAGGGATTGTCTTTTATGTGTAATTCAAATTCTAAGAAGAATAAATTAATTATAGTCCAATCACCACTATAACTCACAGCAGGGAGGAAGGAAGAAGTATGTGGTGTGTCACTCATAACAGGTTGGTGATGTTAGATTATAATTAGATGAACAAAGACACACACAAAATCATAAGAGTCAACCCAACACTCTGATGATAATTCTACATTATCACTATGATGACAACTCTGTATCACACAGTAATCTTTTTTTAAAGACTTAGTGAGATAAGAAAGATAAACAAAGCCCAAGTTATCCTGACATGCAATAGAAATATTACAAATAGTCAACAGATATGATGGTAGACATGAACTAAACCAAATATAAATTTCATCATGGATGCTCACCATGCAATGGTGTGAATGAGAATGCATTGGTACAGTCAGATATCATCCAAGACTTGGAACCTATGTTCAAAACGATCAAAACCAAATTATGTAGCGTCACCTTAAAAAGATGTATGCATTCAAAGTCTGAGGAATTGATTCAAGTCTAATTGAAGATGTAAAAATGTGAAAGTTAAATTAGAGTATTGTTGAACCATGGAAAATCAGGGTTAAGACAAGTGCTGGGGTGAATGTTGGCAGTGTGCCTCCAGGCAACTGCCCACAGGAGAGGGACTATGAATTTTCAATTTCCATTGGTGAGAACTATTGTGAAACGAACATGTCAAATGCCATTCAACATTTAGTTTATATAACTTCCTGTCTGATTCCTTACTCATGTGGTGTTTTAGAAGTTCCTGTTACTTAATTCTCCTGTAATTTAATAAATAGGCATCCTTGCTTTTTGGGCTTGGCTAACAGGTGTCTGCTCTAAGACGTGGCTTAACCCTTAGAATGTAAGCAAAATCAGGTCTCTGAGTCTGCAAGGCTAAAGGCCAGAACCAGGTACATTTATCAAGGGTTGTGAATTCTACCTTGCATGCCATTGGGGAGATAGTCCTTATTTTTTTTTTTTTTTTATCTCCAAGGGAATGCCAATTATCATGACAGTGTGTATGCTTTCTTTAAAGCATTATGTATGTGAATGCTTACGGAGTTCAGAGAATAACAACCTGTTAGCAATTAATTAATCAAATAATGATGGGGCAAGACAGAGTGTTTAAGGATCTCAAAGAATCTCAGGCATGGAAGGAATCCTAATAAACTTCCTGCCATGTGTTGCCAGATCCAATGCTTAAGTGTCTAGTAAATGGAAATTCATACACCCGGGGTGGTCTGTTCCATTCCTAGGAAGATCTTTTAAAGAGCTTTTAGAGAATTTCTGTACTCACTCTAGACCCCCTGAACTTTTTCCTCATTAGAAGCATCTGTGACTAAGCAATCAGAATGGCTTTTCTGAGCGCTTCCCTACCCTTAGCTCCATCCTCTATTCCAGTGCCCTTTGCTGGAAAATCACATTCATGTTCCTGTAAATAGCCAATTATCTTCCTGCTCTGTAGAATGCAGTTCCAGCCAAACAAGCATTTCCTTGCCTTGCTATCACAAATTTTTACATGGTCCTTTTGCAGCAAGTTTATCATCACTAACCTTTGCTTACCAAGTCCTTCTCATTGTTAAAATCTAGATCAAGGTGGTTTACCTGGTTGCCTAAGAACCTTCTGCTCAATTTTAGTGATTCTGAGGTCCCCACAAAATAGCTAGATTGTTGGATGTTCCTTCATCCCTTCTCCTCCCATGTGTGCTGGTTTTGTGATCTGCCTTTGCAATGTATCATCAATTTCCTGTGTTTGGCCAGGAAGACTGCAGTATGTCCACACAAAGAGAGCTCATGGGTTCATCTTCCCTTCTTTGTTCATGCACAGGTTTTCCACTGTGGAAGAAGGCAGGAAAGTCTGGGCCATGAGGATCGAAATCACATAGATGAGTATTTGCATCATGCCTGTTCTGCTACCTACAAGCTGCAGGCTTTGGGGGAAGTACTTAATATATTCCAACCATGTTTTATTGTTTCTGCATTTACATTTTTGGGGAATTTTTGTACCTGAGTTCTTTCAGTATCACCCCTGTTGTTCTACTTGGTAAATTGATTCATGGGTTCAAAATGGAAGTTTTTTATTTCCTTCCCTCTCTGATTCGTTGCTAAGATACAATTCTGTTAGATACAGTCGTCATGAACCACCCTTCCTATATCATTAATAATATAGGCTCACCTTCCTCACTTCTACTGTATAAATTTTGTCTCTTGTTTGTATTCTTCCCGAAGCACAATAAAGGTGAGGATGTTGAATGTCTCGTTCACTTCTGTAATCACAGCACCTGGCACAGTACTTAACACACAGTAAGTGCTCAATAAATCTTATTTAAATAAAGGATTGTTTTAATATCCAGATGTAAGTCTTTATTCTTATTCACTCTCCCGAAGTCCCAACTATTGGTAGAATAAGGAAATGAGACTGTGTGAGGGTACCAAGTAATTTGCTGTCATATTCAAGACTCCATAGACCCGGTTATGTCTCTAGACTGGTAGGGGCAGGGAGCATAGCACACACAGTGAGTGTAGTGTAGACAGCTTAGTGTTTGAAGCCAGGTCAACTGTTAACTGTACAACTTTGAACAAGTTCCTTCATCTCCCTTAGCCTCTGTTTCTTCATCTGTGAAATGAGGAAAATAAAACATTGGTGGATTATGAATTAGAAAAACCTAGACTAATACCTGTAGTTACTCAGTAAATGGTAGTGCCTCAGCTCATCCTTGAATGCATCAGGAGAGCAAGCACTTAGCAAGTCAGACAACATGGAAGCCTCTTTGGAAAATCCCTCCACCTTCTTAGATTTCCTAAGACCTAACTACTATGTGATAGCTCAGGCCACAGAATATTATTTTTCCCCTGGAGCCAGTATCTGTTCTTTTTTTTCAAGAAATATCTTGGTATCCTCTTTGGTGTTCAGCTCTTCGGAAAGTCTAGCTCCCACTTTGGGGGACTACAATAACGTCTATTGTCATTATATCCAGTATACTTTTTAAGAGTGACCAGTTTCCTTTATTTTCTTTCTCAAATCCTTATGTTTTCTTTTTCTAATACTCTGATGTTGAATCTCCTCTGCTTCAACTTTGCCTCACAACATTGAGGCACTGGTTGGATCAAAGCATTATATACCCATTGCTCAGTTACTTCAATTCTGAGGATTCTGTAAATATGCACTACCCTTATAATCCTCTGATTGAGAAGCTAGGTTGATCCAGCATTTGGAGCACAGAAACTGTGTCTTGTGCGCATTGCAGGGTGTTTCTTAGTCTTTTTTGTTCAAGTATTCTGCATTTTTAGGTAGAAAAGTGACCTACATGTACAAGACATTTCATTTTCATTTGTCAACAAGCAACTCAAATCATACACCTTCCCTAAAACTCAGACACCAGAGTTATTTCTACTTGTATTAAAATCTAAATAATAATGCCCTGGATCAAGATTCAGAACATCTGGGTATTGGACTTAATTCTATCAATTTCTAACTGTATGACCTGAGGCCAGTGATTTTTCCCATTTGTAATGTGCAAATGATAGTCTTTGCTTTGCCCACCTTGTGGGGTTACTATGAGATTAGAAGAGATAATAGGAAATACAATACACATGCAAGGCCTTTTAAAGGAATAGCTGTGCAGAACAAAACCCCAATGTATGGTCCATGACAGGAAAGACTTTAGGAAGATAATTCTTTTTTTTAAAATAATTTTTTTATTATACTGTAAGTTTAGGGTACATGTGCACAACATGCAGGTTTGTTACATAGGTATACATGTGCCATGTTGGTTTGCCGCACCCGTTAACTCGTCATTTACATTAGGTATTTCTCCTAATGCTATCCCTCCCCCTGACCCCCACCCCATGACAGGCCCTGGGGTGTGGTGTTCCCTGCCCTTTGTCCAAGTGTTCTCATTGTTCAATTCCCACCTATGAGGGAGAACATGCGGTATTTGGTTTTCTGTCCTTGTGATAGTTTGCTTAGAATGATGGTTTCCAGCTGCATCCATGTCCCTGCAAAGGACATGAACTCATCCTTTTTTATGGCTGCATAGTATTCCATGGTGTATATGTGCCATATTTCTTAATCCAGTCTATCACTGATGGACATTTGGGTTGGTTCCACGTCTTTGCTATTGTGAATAGTGCCGCAGCAAACATACGTGTGCATGCGTCTTTATAGTAGCATGATTTATAAGCCTTTGGGTATATACCCAGTAATGGGATTGCTGGGTCAAATGGTATTTCTAGTTCTAGATCCTTGAAGATAATTCTAACTGATTATGGAGGTGAGAAGCAGGACACAGGAATAATGAGTACATTGATATAACGTGGTTGATATTGGGCGTTTGCAGCAATATTGATCAGTTGCAGAGACTTAAGAGAACAGTCTTAGGGATTTGATATTTTAAGATTGTTAGAGGGAAAAGGGGATGACAATTTTTCCTTGGCTGAGATCTTGAGTTCATGTCAAGGATCCATGAAGATGACTAGCAGCTGGCACTCTGATATATAGGAAATAAGGAAGAGAAAAATCAAAGTGAAGCCAGCTCCACTTCACTAAGCAGCCTCACAATTTAACAATATAACACATCAAATGTTTGGCAACAGTATGTTGGTTGTCAACAAAGTCAGGGGAGTGGGAGTTAGTTCATTGGTAAGGCTGGTAGCAGCTGGACTCACAGTAGGTGGGCTGGCAGCAGGGTGGGCTGCAGCAGGTGGTCACACAGACGGTCCTGTAGCAGGTGATTGCACAGCAAATTGGGCCACAGCAAGGCGGGCGGGAGCTGGACCCACAGCAGATGCTCCTGTAGCAGGTGGTCTTGCAGCACATAGGCTGGCAGCAAGGGGAGCAACACTGGGTCATGATGTCAGGGGTGGAGGGTGGGCTCCTGTTTAGAGGTAAATTTCCCGGAATCTGATGACTCCTTCCAATCTGGACCTTCTATACACTAAGCCTCCAAAGTTTCCACCAATCAGCAGGACTTTTCCTTGTTGTTGTTTACATTGTTTTCCGTAGTCAGTTTGGGATTATTGAAGAGGATGTTGTTTCCTAAATATTATAGATCTTCTGAGAGTAAGGGCTTAATCTGTTTCTTAATTGAGAATAACTGTTAGAAACTTTGTTTCAGATAAAAGGAAGGTGGTCACATCATTGACATCCTTCCTGCTCTGGTCATCATGTGGTCATGTGATAGTTCCTACTGGCCTTGGAAGGTCAGGGCAGGTGTCTCTCCCCAGCTTGTTCTTTGGGGAGTGTCTGTGGGGAGGAGCATGATGCTGATAGGTTCACAGTGATGAACTGAATCCATGCCTGCGTCAAGGCTATTCACCTACAAGGCCTGATTCAAGAATAACAGGCACCTACCTGTCTTTGTGCAACCTACTCCGGATGTGTATGTGGTGTTTGTCTTTCTGTGCCTGGCTTATTTTACTTAACATAATGATCTTCAACTCCATCCATGTTGTTGCAAATGACTTGATCTCATTCTTTTTTATGGCTGAATAATACTTCATTTGGTGTATGTACCACATTTTCTTTATCCACTCATCTGTTGGTGGACACTTACATTGCTGCTAAATCTTAGCTATTGTAAACAGTGTTGCAACAAATATAGGAGTGCAGATGTCTCTTTGATATACCAATTTCTCTTCTTCTGGGTATATACCGAGGAGTGTGATTGCTGGATAATATGGTAGCTCAGTTTTTAGTTTTTTGAGGAACCTCCAAAGTGTCTTCCATAGCGCTTGTACTAATTTACATTCCCACCAAGAATGCACGAGCGTTCTCTTTTCTCCACATCTGCATCAGCATTTGTCATTGCCTGCCTTTTGGATATAAGCCATTTTAACTGGGGTGAGATGATCTCTCATTGTAGTTTTGATTTGCATTTCTCTGATGATCAATGATGGTGAACACCTTTTCATATGCTTATTTATATGTCTTCTTTTGAGAAATGTCAATTCAAATCTTTTGCCCATTTTGTGATCAGATTATTAGATTTTTTTTCCTATAGAATTATTTGACCTCCTTATATTCTGGTTGTTAATTCATTAACAATGCATAGGTATTTTGCAAATATTTTCTCCCATTCTGTGGGTTGTCTCTTTGTTATTGTTTCCTTTGCTGTGCAGAAGCTTTTTAATTTGATGTGATCCCATTTGTTTATTTTTGCTTTGGTTGCCTGTGCTTGCGGGGTATTGCTCAAGAAATTTTTGCCCAGACCAATGTCCTGGAGATTTTCCCCAATATTTTCTTGTAGTAGTTTCATAGTTCGAGGTCTTAGATTCAAGTCTTCGATCTAATTTGATTTGATTTTTGTATGTGGTGAGAAAGAGGGATCTAGTTTCATTCCTCTGCATAGAGATATCTAGTTTTCCCAGCATGGTTTATTGAAGAGAATGCCTTTTTCCCAGTGTATGCTCTTGGCACCTTTGTTGAAAATGAGGTGACTGTAGGTGTGTGGCGAACTTTACTTGTCATGCAGACACCAGTTATATTGAATCAGAGGCCCATTTTATTCCAATGTGACCTTACCTTAACTAGTTACATTCTCAATGACCCTATTTGGTGATGAATTTCTGGGGAAACAAGTCAATCCAAATATTGAAGTATCTCAGAGTGTGTCCATGGCTGATGATAACTGCAAATGAGTAACAGGAATCACAGTGGACAATAACACAGTAACTAGAGGGTCAGACCCTTCAGGCAGGAGGTTCTGGCTTACATCATCAGGCAATTATCTAGACAACAGAAGTGCTGGCCAGTGGTGAAGGGAGTATAGAACTTGTGGTAACTAATGGAGATGATGAATCTCAGGTGAACCCTATTACAGTAGTAACTGTATCTTGTTCCATTTGGCCTTTATTTTATATCTCTCCTTCCCTTCTTCCTTCCTGCCTTCCTTTCCTCTTACCTTCCCTTCCTTCTATTCTACCATCCTTTTCATACAGACACCAGTCATATTGAATAAGAAGACCAGTTTATTCCAATGTGACCTTACTTAACTAGTTACATTCTCAATGACCTTATTTGGCTATGAATTTCTGGGGAAAAAAATCAATCCAAATATGGAAGTATCTCAGAGCGTGTCCATGCCTAGTGATAACCACAAATGAGTAACAGCAATCACAGTGGACAACGGTATAGTAACTAGCAGCTCAGAACCTTCTGTCCCTCTTCTTTCTCTCCTCCTCTACCTCCTTCTCCTAGAATTTCTGGCTGTCCATCACAGTTAAGAAGCAAAGATTGGATCTGAGTGGAGCGAATGACAGACCATAGATGACATTTTCATTATCCTGTCCATATTTCTCAGATCTTAGTGTGCTTGGGCCAGTTTCTATTTGCCAGAATCTGCATCTCTGTGCCTAAGGGCTCTTGTATTGCAACTGCAGAAAGTCATGTCACCTGTGCATTCCACACAGAGGACTATCACTCAACTCAACCAATGATCTTGGAGAGCTGATTTACAAAGACTCTAGCTCCCTTATTCCTGAAGATAGAGATTGCTAATTTATGTGTTTTTCATCATTTCTGATAGTTTTCCCTTTGGTTTAAATTTTAGTTGGTCACTGTGATACTTACTGGCTCAATAGTATACCCTTTTCTGTATCTCTTCTCTGATCCCTAATGGTGTGATCTGCACTTCCCAATAAACTACTTTCACTGGAATATTTTTCTAAGTATCTGTTCTGGGAGAAACCACACTATGACATTACATTAACTCTCTCAGCCTCAATTTCCTCATCTCTACAATGGTAACATTAATACCTACTTTGAACATTTCCTCAAGAATAAATATTAATGAACATAAAGCATGTAGTCACTATCTATCAAATAGTAGGCAACCTAGAACATATTAGTTCTTTTTTTGTCCAGAAAACTTAAAAAATAATTTTAATATTGAATATAAGAATATATTTAAAATAACTAACTAGATCAACTAAATTCTTTCTTTACTAGTTTTATTGAGGTATAATTAACAAATAAAAATTGTGTATATGTAAGGTATAAAAGGTTATGTTTTGAGGTATATATATATATACAGTGTGAAATAATAATATATTTATTAGCTCACATAGTCACCATTTCCTTTTTATTGTTGTGGTGTGAACATTTAAGATCCACTTTCTCAGCAAATTTCAGGTATACAATAAAGTATTTTAAACTATGTCCACATTAGAGTGCACCAGATCTGCAGAACATATTCGTCTTATATAACTGATGTTGGTCATGAGAATGTGCTAGTTCTCCTTTACCCCACCACCCAACGACTATCCCAGTCAGCGGCTTTTCTCTCTTTCTGGAATCTTCAGAGCATTCCAGATATACAGTCTCAAAAGATGGCATCTGTATTTTTTAAGGAATAACTTAAGTTCATTTTGCCTTGCCAATATGTATTCAGGAGAAGAAGAAGGAAGCCATATAAGAATGGAAATGTTATCTGCAAATGTTACCTGCAAATACAGGAGATTACTCCTCCATTGTTGAGTCAACTTAAGTGCATGTCTTGCTAATGTAGAGTCCCAATGTAATTTTTACTTTAATGAGAGTTAAATATAAGTGCTCTTGGACAGAAAGAGAAGACCCAACCTTAAATCTGAGTCTGCATTTTTAGCTAAATAACATCACACATTAAAATTTTCCTCAGCTGGAAAGTAGAGGTAATAAAACATGACCATCTGTTTTTATAATCAAATTAGGTAACATGTATGGTATGGAATATGTGTGTAAATCCCATATCAGGAATGCTGTAAAATAAAAAAAAACACCATGTGAGATGAAGGACAGCTTTGAGTTTATTAAGAAACATATAGGTAAGAGTCCCTGTTTCTAGGGAGATAACCCAAAATGATCATGAAAGGAATAAGGATAAAAGAACCACGAGGAGGACACTGAAAATGAAAACATGATTGTGAAGATTATTGATCAGTTGCAAAACCTAAGTTTCTTAGAGAAAGGGAATGAAGCTCTTGACTTTAGAGTCAAGCTGAGACCATGACTCCAAATTGAAAATACATGAAGGTGGCACATGATCCACAAGGTGTAAGGAAAAAAGAATCAGGATGAAGTACTCTACCCTCACTCAAGCTGATTCACAAAATGTTAAACATGCAGAGAAGTCATAAAAATTAGGGTGAGCAAAGTTCACCCTAAGTTCACATTGTTGGTTTTCATCACAGTTTGAAAGTAAATTTGTCCCCCAGAAGGTAAATCTTTTGCCAGAGGGTTACTGTATGGGGATGATGGTCCTCTGCGGAACTGATCAGCAGCAAGCAGGCTGACAGCAGCTGGTCACACAGGTGGGCTGGAAGCAAGTGGTCCTGCAGCAGGTAGTCTCACAGCAGGCTGGGCGGCAGCACGGCTGGCAGCAGCTGGAGCCACAGCTCTGGTTTAGGCAACCAGGCAGGTAGACACTCGTGGGGTGGTAGCAGGTTCTCCTGCAGTAGATGGGTGCACAGGAGCTGGGCTGGCAGCAGCTGGACCCACAGCTGGTTTGGCCACAGCAGCTGGACCCACAGCAGATGGGCTGGCAGCAGGGTGTGCTGCAGCAGGAAGGCTGGTAGCAGCTGGTCACACAGGTGGGCTGGCAGCAGGTGGTCCTGCAGCAGGTGTTTTGACAGCAAGTTGGGTGGCAGCAAGGCTGGCAGCAGCTGGACACACAGCAGGAGGGCTGGCAGCAGGGTGTGCTGCTGCAGGTGGTCACAATGGTGGGCTGCCAGCAGGTAGTCCTGCAGCAAGTGGTCCTGCAGCAGGTAGGCTGACAGCCAGGGGAGCAACAGTGGGTCATGTTGTCAGGGGTGGAGGGTGGGCTTCTGTTCAGAGGTGAGTTTCCCAGGATTTGATGACCCCTTGCAATCTGGACCTTTTATACATGTGGCCTCCAAAGTTTCCACCAATCAGCAGGATTTTTCTTTCTTGCTGTTTACAGTTGTTTTCCATAGTCAGTTTGGCATTGTCAAAGAGGAAGTCATTTCCTAAATGTTATGAATCTTTGGAAAGTAAGGGTTTAATCTGTTTCTTAATTGTAAATTACTCGTAGAAACTTTGTTTCAGATAAAAGGAAGGCAGTCTCATCATCAGCTTCGTTCCTGCTCTGACCAGCATCTCGTCATGTGATAGTTCCTGGTGACTGGGGAGGCTCAGGAAGTTCTCTCTGCCCAGTCTCATCCTTTGGCTGTATGTAGACTGGGAAGTGTCTGTGGGGAGAAGCATGATGTTGATATATTCACAGTGGTGAATTGAATCCATGCTTGGGACCAAGACTGTTCACCCACCAAAGTCTGATTCAAGACTGATAGGCATCTCTCTATGTACAACCTACTTTACCTGTCTCTTCCAGTTCTATAAAAGCCTCTTGGGAAGAGGGTGTTCAGCACAATGTGTGCTATGTGGCAGAGCAGAGCCAAAGCAAACACGTAGAAAGAGGAGGGGTTCACTGGAATTCACAAAGCATCAAGCAATCTACGTGCTGCGGTGACCATTCATCCTGATTTGTCTGGGACTGAGGGGCTTACCAGCATGAGAATGTGGGACTGGGAATTACTGTGACATTACTGCTTGAGGTCCAGGCAAAGCAATATGAGCTGTGGCTCTAGCCCTAATCCAGGTTACTGGCACAATCATTGCCATTTCTCTGTCTCTGTCTCTGTCTCTGTCTCTGTCTCTGTCTCTGTCTCTCTCTCTCTCTCTCTCTGTCTCTCTGTTTTCAGTGAGGGAATTAGGTGAGTTGAGATGATATCTGATTCCTCTTTGAGGTTTACCATTGTTTAAAACTTTTTAAATTATACCATTCATTTCAGAAGAGTGCAAATTATGAATTCCAACTTGATATAATATTACATTATAAATACATCTAAGTCCCCATTACCAGTTTACAAAATAGAAATTAATTCCATTCCCTCCAAATTATATCTTTTTACTTATCTCCAAAGGTAGCTAGTCACTCTATCAAGTTTTAATCCTGTAGGTCAGTTTTGTTTTTTTCTTTGACTTTTATGTAAATAAAAATTATAGAATTTGCTTCACTGTGTTTTTGGCATAATCAAAAGCAGCAATTATAACCTGGTCATTTCATTTTGGATCCTTCATGTTAGCAGACCAGCAGGTAGATAAAGGAGTTAATATTCCATGAGGGATAATTTTCGTGAAGCCATAGAGCGTAGGGAGAATATATCTGAAACTCAAGAAATTTACTATATATATTAAAGCATTACACTGCCATTAAAAACTATGGCAAATCAAGTGGCTGAAGTTTATTTTCTCACAGTTCTGAAGGCTAAAATAAAGGTGTTGGCAATGTTGTTTTCATCTGAGGGCTGTGAGGGAAATATCTGTTTCAGGTCTCTCTCCTTGACCTGTAGATGTCTATCTTCTCCATGTGTCTCTTACATCATCTTCCCTCTATATGCATCCTGTTTGAATTTCCCCTGTTTATACAGACACCAGTCACATTGAATCAGAAGCACAATTTATTCCAATATGACCTTATCTTACCATCTTGCATTTAAGTGACCCTATTTGAATATGAGTTCTTGGGGACACAATTCGACCCATAACCTTGGAATATCTCGTAGTGTATCCATGCCCATTGATAAACACAAATGAGTAACAAAAGCAACCACAGTTGGAGAATGGTGTAGTAAGTAACTAGAGGGTAAGACCCATCAGGCAGGAAGTTCTGAGCTACTTCATCAGGCAATTATCTAAACTAACAGGAGTGCTGGCCAGTGATGAAGGGAGTATAGAACTGGCGGAAACTGATGGAGATTATGAATCTCAGAAGCACCCTATTACAGCAGTAGTTTCTTTTCCCTTCCCTCCCTTCCCTTCCCTTCCTTCCCTTCCCTTCCCTTCCTTTCCCCTCCCCTCCCCACCCCTCCCCTCCCCTTTCTTTCTCTTCTTTCTTTCTTTCCTTTTCCTTCCTTCCTTCCCCTTCCTTCCTTCCTTCCTTCCTTCCTTCCTTCCTTCCTTCATTCCTTCCTTCCTTTTCACTCTCTTTCCTTCTGTCTCTTGCTCTCTTTCTTCCTCCGTTCCTTTCTTCCTGTCTGTGTATATTGTCTTCTTCCCATATCTTTCCTAGTTTTTTCCTCCTCTCTCACCTTCTGTTCCTCCTCTTCCTCCTCCTCCTTTTTCTCCTAGAGTTCATGGCTGTCCATTACATTTAAGAAGGAAAGATTGGACTTGAATGGAGCAAATGTTACTGTAGACAGGTCTTCATTACCATACCTGTATATCATGGAACTTAGGGTGCTCATACCAATTTCCATCTGCCTGAATCTGCATCTCTGTGCCTTAGGGCTCTTGTATTGCAACTACAGAAAGTCATGTCACCTGTGCACACTACAGGGAGAAAAATATTCAACTGAAAATTCTAAAGAGTGGATTTATACAGACTCTAGCTTCTTCACTGCTGAAGTTTGAGAATTCAAAGTTGTGTGTTTTTCATCATTTCTGAAAAATTTCCCTTTAGCTTAAGCTTCAGTTGATCTCTGTGATACTGGCTTAATAGTATACCCTTTTCTGTATCACTGCCACAATCCCTTCTGGCCTGTTCTGCCCTTCCTAATACACTGTATTCATTGGAATCTTTTTCTCAGAGTATCTTCTGGGAAAAACCAAACTATGACATTACATCTCTCAGCCTCAATTTCCTCATCTCTACAATTAGAACACTAATGCCTACTTTGAAAGTTTTTTCAATAATTAATGATAATGTACATAAAAGATTTACACAATATCCATCAAATGATAGGCAACTGAAAACATATTATTTCTTTTCTCTCCAGAAATTCCTAAACTAATTTTAATGTTGATGATAAGAATATATTTATAATAATTAACTAGATCAACTTTTTTTCTTTTACTTTAAGTTCCAGGACACATGTGCAGAATGTGCAGGTTTGTTGAGTAGGTATACATGTGCCATGATTGTTTGCTGCACCTATCAACCTGTCCTCTAGGTCTTAAGCCCTGCATGCATTAGGTATTTGTCCTAATGCTCTCCCTCCCCTTGCCCCCGACCCCCACAACAGGCCCTGGTGTGTGATGTTCCCCTCCCTGTGTCTGTGTGTTCTGGTTGATCAACTCCCACTTATGAGTGAGATCATGTGGTGTTTGGTTTTCTGCTCCTGTGTTACTTTGCTGAGAATGATGGCTTCCAGCTTCTTCCATGTCCCTGCAAAGGATATGAACTCATTGTTTTTTATGGCTGCATAGGATTCCATGGTTTATATGTGCCACATTTTCTTTATCCAGTCTATCACTGATGGGCATTTGGGTTGGTTCCAAGTCTTTGCTATTGTAAATACTGCTGCAATAAACATATATGTGCATGTGTTTTTATAGTAGAATCATTTATATTCCTTTGAGTATATACCCGGTAATAGGATTGCTGAGTCAAATGGTTTTTCTGGTTCTAGATCCTTGAGGAATTGCCACACTGTCTTACACAGTGGTTGAACTAATTCACTATCCCACCAACAGTGTAAAAGCATTCCTATTTCTCCACAGCCTCTCCAGCATCTATTGTTTCCTGACTTTTTAATAATCACCATTATGACTGGCATGAGATGGTATCTCAATGTGGTTTTGATTTGCATTTCTCTAATGATCAATGATGATGAGCTTTTTTTCATATGTTTGTTGGCCACATAAAAGTCTTCTTTTGAGAAGTGTCTGTTCATATCCTTTGCCCACTTTTTGATGAGGTTGTTTGTTTTTCTTGTAAACTTGTTTAAGTTCCTTGTAGATTCTGGATTTTAGACCTTTGTCAGATGGGTAGATTGCAAAAATTCTCACCCATTCTGTAGGTTGTGTGTTCTCTCTGATGATAGTTTATTTTGCTGTGCAGGAGCTATTTAGTTTAATTAGATCCCATTTGTCAATTTTGGCTTTTGTTGTGATAGTTTTTGGCATTTTTGTCATGAAGTCTTTGCCCATGTCTATGTCCTGAAAGTTATTGCCTAGGTTTTCTTCTAGGGTTTTTATGATTTTGGGTTTCACATTTAAGTCTTTAATCCATCTTGAGTTAACTTTTGTATAAGGTGTAATGAAGGGGTCCACTTTCAGTTTTCTGCATGTGGCTAGCCAGTTTTCCCAGCCCCATTTATTAAATAGGGAATCTTTTCCCCATTGCTTGTTTTTGTCAGGTTTGTCAAAGATCAGATGGTTGTAGATGTGTGGTGTTATTTCTGAGGTCTCAGTTCTGTTCCATTGGTCTATATATCTGTTTTGATATCAGTACCATGCTGTTGTGGTTACAGTTGCCTTGTAGTATAGTTTGAAGTCAGGTAGCGTGATGCCTCCAGCTTTGTTCTTTTGTTTGGGATTGTTTTGGTGATACGGGCTCTTTTTTGGTTCCATATGAAATTTAAAGTAGTTTTTTTTTTAAATTTTGTGAAGAAAGTCAAGGGTAGCTTGATGGGAATAGCATTTAATCTATAAATTACTTCGGGCAGCATGGCCGTTTTCATGATATTGATTCTTTCTATCCATGATCATGTAATGATTTTCAATTTGTTTGTGTCCCCTCTTATTTCCTTGAGCAGTGGTTTGTAGTTTCCCTTGAAGAGGTCCTTCACATCCCTTGTAAGTTGTATTCCTAGGTATTTTATTCTCTTTGTTGCAATTGTGAATGGGAGTTCACTCATGATTTGGCTCTCTGCTTGTCTATTATCGGTGTATAAGAATGCTTGTGATTTTTGTCATTGATTTTGTATCTTGAGACTTTGTTAAAGTTGCTTATCAGCTTAAGGAGTTTTTAGGATGAGACACTGAGGTTTTCTAAATATAGAATCACGTCATCTGCAAACAAAGACAATTTGACTTCCTCTCTTCCTATCTGAATGCCTTTATTTCTTTCTTTTGCCTGATTGTCCTGGCCAGAACTTCCAATACTATGTTGAATAGGAGTGGTGAGAGAGGGCGTTCTTGTCTTGTGCCATTTTCAAAGGGAATGCTTCCAGCTTTTGCCCATTCAGTATAATATTGGCTATGGGTTTGTCAAAAATAGCTCTTATTATTTTGAGATATGTTCCATCAATACCTAGTTTATTGAGAGTTTTTAACATGAAGGATGTTGAATTTTATCGAAGGCCTTTTCTGCATCTATTGAGATAATCATGTGGTTTTTATCATTGGTTCTGTTTATGTGATGGATTATGTTTATTGATTTGCATATGTTGAACCAGCCTTGCATCCCAGGGATGAAGCAATTTGATCATGGTGGATAAGCTTTTTGATGTGCTGCTAGATTTGGTTTTTACTAACTTTACTGAGGTATAATTGAATAAAAATTGTATATATTTAAGGTATAAAAAGTGATGTTTTGATATATATATTTATAGTGAGATATTCATCACAGTGAAGCTAATTCACATATTCATTAGCTCACATACTTGCCATTTCAGGTATAAAATAAAATATTTTTACCTACAGCCACACTACTGTACACTAGGTCTGCAGAGCTTATTTACCTTGCATACCTGATCTTGGCCAAAGTGAATGTTTTAGGTCTTCATCTCCTTTACCCTGTCACCCCAGAAGAATCACAGTCAATGGATTTTGTCTCTTAGCCAAGTCTCCAAAGCACTCTAGGTACACAGTCTCAGAAGTTGGGATCCGTCCTGGAAGTCTACATCGTTAGCTCATCAGAGGTATTTCTAGCACTCCCATGCTGGTAGGAGGTCCCACAAAGGTAATCCAGGTCCCAGACTTTTCTATTTCTCTCAGAGCCAGTATAAATCAGTCCTTCCATTAGTGAATGCTTGGGTTGCATCATCAGTTCAGGGCCAAAAGCACCAGCCATCTGCCTATCATGACTTCTATGAATGTACACATTTTTCTACTTTCAGTCCGTCTTACATTCTTCTGATTTCCCTGAAAACACAAATGTTTATTTCCTTTAGATGCTTAATTTTGGCCTCATAAAGCATAGAAGATTGTTTTAACCCATTAGATAACTCAGAGATTATGGATTATGCAAAGTCATATGTGCCTGTTGCATAGTGTCTCAATCCTAAACTTTGTCCTTACTTAATTTTCCTGATAACATTTTTATCAGGAAGTCAAATTGTCTAAATGTTGCATAAGGTATGGTCTGTATTTTACATGGAATTACTTAATTCCATTTTGCTCTTTCAATGAAATTTCAGCAGGAGGCCAGATATGAATTTGATTTATTTGATACGAAGGAATTAGTCTCTTCAAATGAGGATATGATGCATTCTGAAAAGTTTTTGATGTGTCCTCTTGAAAACCAGAACAAGGCAAACATGCCATATCTCACCACTCCTATTCAAAATAGTAATGAAAGTCCTAGCCAGAGAAATATGGCAAGAGAAATAAAGTAAAGGTATCTAGATAGGAAAAGTGGAAGTTAAACTATCTCTGTGTGTGAAGAAGATTTTACACCCAGAAAACCTCATTGTCTCTACCCAAAAACTCCTTGATCTGATTAGCAACTTCAGCAAAGTTTCAGGATACAAAATTATTGTACAAAAATCAGTAGCATTCCTATACACCAACAACATCCAAGTTGAGAGCCAAATCAATAATGTAATCCTTTTCACAATAGCCACAAAAAACAACAAAATACCTAGGAATACAGCCAACCAGGGAGGTGAAAGATCTCTGCAACAAGAATTGCAAAACACTGCTCAAAGAAATTAAAGATGACACAAACAAATTGAAACATATTTTATGCTCATGGGTAGAAAGAATCAATATTGTTAAAATGGCCATACTCCCTAAAGCAATTTACAGATTCAGTATCACTCCTATCAAACTACCAATGACAGCCTTCACAGAATGAGAAAAAAAATGTTTTACAATTCATATGGAACCAAAAAAGAGCCTGAATGGCCAAGGCAATCCTAAGCAAAAATAACAAAGCTGAAGACATCGCATTATCTGACTTCAAACTACATTACAGGCTGCAATAACCAAAACCGCATGGTACTGGTACAAAAACAGACACACAGACCAATGGAACAGAATACAGAGCCCAGAAATAATGTTGCACACCTACAACATGTGATCTTCAGCAAAGTTGATGAAAATAGGCAGTGGGGAAAAGACTCCTGATTTAATAAATGGTGCTGAGATAACTGGCTAGTCATTTGCAGAAGATTGAAACTGGACCCCTTCCTTACATGGTATACAAAAATCAACTCAAGATGGATCAAAGACTTACATGTAAAACCTAAGGCTATAAAAACGCTGGCAGACAACCTAGGCAATACCATTCTAAACATAGGACCAGGCAAGGATTTTATGATGAAGTCACCAAAAGTAATTGTAAAAAGAGAAAAAATTGACAAATGGGACCTAATTAAACTTAAGAGCTTCTGCACAGCAAAAGAAACTATCAACAGAGTAAACAGACAACCTACAGAATGGGAGAGAATATTTGCAAGCTATCTATCCAACAAAGGTCTAATATCCAGAATCTGTAAGGAAGTTAAACAAATTTACAAGCAAAAACCAAACAATCTCATTAGAAAGTGGTCAAAGGACACGAACAGACACTTTTCAAAAGAAGACATTCAAGCGGCCAAAAAGGATATGAACAAATGATCAACATCACTGATGATTAGAGAAATGCAAGTTAAAACCACAATGAGATGCCCTCTGACACAAGTCAGAATAGCTCTTATTAAAGTCAAAAAATAAAAGATGCTGGCAAGTTTTTGTAGAAAAAGAAACACTTATACACTGTTGGTGGAATTGCACATTAGTTTAACCATTATGGAAAGCAGTTTTGGGATCTCTCAAAGAACTTAGAATTAATATTTGACCCAGCAATTCAATTATTGGGTATATACCCAAATGCATATAAATTGTTCTACCATAAAGACACATGCATGCGTATGTTCATTGCAACACTACTCACAATAGCAAAGACATAGAGTCAACTTAAAATGTACATCAAAAGTAGACTGGATAAAGAAAATGTGTTTCATATACACCATGGAATACTATACAGAAAAAAAAGGAAAAAAAGAACAAGATGATGTCCTTTGCAGCAACACAGATGGAGCCGGAGGCCATTATCCCAAGGGAACTAACACAGGAACAGAAAACCAAATAACACATGTTCTCACATAAGAGTGGGGGCCAAACATTGAATACATATGAACACAAAGAAGGGAACAACAGACACTGGAACTTACCTGTGGGTGGACTGTGGGAGGAGAATGAGAATCAAAAAACTGCCTATCAGGTATTATGCTTATTACCTGGGTGAAGAACTAATCTGTACACCAAACCCTGCAACACACAATTTAACTATAAAATAACCCGGCACACGTACCCCTGAACCTTAAAAAAAGGTTAAAAAATTTCTTTGATGCACGTGAATTGAATGATTGGCTGGTATAGGCCAATAGGATCCCTGCATTCATGACAGCTGCTAAATGCAGACCCTGCTGCTGTATCATGTAGCTGTTGCTCACTGACGGGTGGGCAATTAATTTGGGAAGACTTTTGTGAACTGAAATGTTATCTCTTGCCAAATACTAGAGATTATTATTTCCATTGTTAAATAAACTCAAGTGCATAACTTGCTAGTGCTGAATCCCAATGTCATTACTACTTTATTGAGAGTTAAATGTAAGTGTCTTTGGACAGAAAGAGAAGACGCAACCTTGCATCAGAGTCTGTCCACTATTAGCTACATAACATCACACATTAAAACTTTCCCAGTTGGAAAATGGAGGCAATAATACATGACTGTCTGTTTTGAGAATCAAATTGGGTAATACATATGGTATGTGATATATGTGTAAATCCCATATCAGGAATGTTTTCAAATAAAACAAATCACCATATGGTATGAATAATAGTTCCAAATTTATTTATTAAGAAATATATAGGTAAGATCCCTGGTTATAGGGAGATAACCCAAAGTGATCATTAAAAGAAGGAAGCAGGATACAAGAATCATGAGTATATTGAAAAGAAAACATAGTTGTGAAGATTCTTAATCATTTGCAGCAACTTAAGTTTCTTAAGTGAAGAGAATGAAGCTCTTGACTTTTGAGTCAAAGCTGAGACCATGACTCAAAATTGAGAACAGATGAAGCTGGCACATGATTCACAAGGTATAAGAAAAAGAGAATCAGGATGAAGTATTCTGCCCTCCCTCAAGCTGATTCACAAGATTTTAAATATGCAGAGAATTCATAAAAATTTGGGTGAGAACATGGTTGCTGTCAGCAGTAAGGTAAATTAGTCCTCCAAAAGATAAGTCAGTTGAGCAGAAGGTTGTTGTGTGAAGATGGTTGTTCTCTTGGGACTTGATCAGCAGCAAGAAGGCTGGCAGCAGCTGGACACACAGGTGGGCTGGAAGCAAGTGGTCCTGCAGCAGGTGGTCTCACAGCAGGCGGGGCGGCAGCAGGGCTGGCAGCAGCTGGATCCACAGCTCTGGTTGAGGCAACCAGGCAGGCAGACAGTCGTCGGGTAGTAGCAGGTTCTTCTGCAGTACACAGGTGCACAGGAGCTGCTCTGGCCACAGCTGGACCCACAGCTGGTTTGGCCACAGCAGCTGGACCCACAGCAGATGGGCTGGCAGCAGGTTGTGCTGCAGCAGGAAGGCTGGCAGCAGCTGGTCAGACAGGTGGGCTGGCAGCAGGTGGTCCTGCAGCAGGTGTTTTGACAGCAAGCTGGGCGGCAGCAAGGCTGGCAGCAGCTAGACACACAGCAGGAGGGCTGGCAGCAGGGTGTGCTGCTGCAGGTGGTCACAGTGGTGGGCTTCCAGCAGGTGGTCCTGCAGCAGGTGGTCCTGCAGCAGGTAGGCTGACAGCAAGGGGAGCAACAGTGGGTCATGGTGTCAGGGGTGGAGGGTGGGTTTCTGTTCAGAGGTGAGTTTCCCAGAATCTGATGACCCCTTGCAATCTGGACCTTTTATACACCTGGCTTCCAAAGTTTCCACCAATCAGCAGGACTTTTCCTTGTTGCTGTTTACACTGTTTTCCACAGTACCTTTGGGATTGTCAAAGGGGAAATTGTTTCTGAAAACTTATGAATCTTTTGAAAGTAAGGGTTTAATCTGTTTCTTAATTGTGAATTACTCATAGAAACTTCCTTTCAGATAAAAGGAAGCCCATCTCATCATCAGCATCATTCCTGCTCTGACCATCATCTAGTCATGTGATAGTTCTTGGTGATCTGGGAAGCTCAGGAAATTCTCTCTGCCCAGCCTCACAGTTGGCTGTATGTAGACTGGGAAGTGTCTGTGGGGAGAAGCATGATGCTGATATATTTACAGTGACAAAATGAATCCATGCCTGGGCCCAAGACAATTCACCCACCAAATTCTGACTCAAGACTAACAGGCATCTCTGTGCAATCCTCACCACCTGTGTCTTTCAGTTATTTGAACGTCACTTGGGAAGAGGGTGTCTGTCACAGTGTGTTCCATGTGGCAGAGCCGATCGAGAGCAGGTGGATGCAGAGAAATCCACTGGGATTTAGACAGCATCAAGCAATCTACGCCCAGGGGTGAGCATTCATTCTCACTTGTCTGCGAGTGTGGGGATTACCGGGATGAGAATGTAGAACTTTCTATGACATAACTGCTTGAGATTCAGGCCAACGTGCATAAGCTGTGGCTCTAGCCATAACCCTGGTTACTAGCACAGTCAGTATCATTTCTTCTCTTTCTTTCTTAGACGGAGTCTTTCTCTGTCGCCTAGACGGGAGTGCAGTGGCGTGATCTCGGCTCACTGCAACGTCTGATTCCTCGATTCAGGGGATTCACCTGCCTCAGCCTCCTGAGTAGCTGCCACTACAGATGCCGGCCACCATGCCCGGCTAATTTTTGTATTTTTAGTAGAGAGAGGGTTTCACCATATTTGTCAGGCTGGTCTCGAACTCCTGACCTTGTGAGCTGCCTGCCTCGGCCTCCCAAAGTGCTGATATTACAGGCATGAGCCACCATCCACAGCCTCTCCTTCTATTTAATGAATTAATTAGATGAGTTGAGATGACACCTGATTCATCGTGGAGTTCTAACATGTTTAAAACATTTTCTAGGAATTACCATTCATTTCAGAGGAATGCAAATTATTAATTTCCAACTTGATACATTATTATATTGTAAATACATCTATGTCCCCATTACATCTATGTTAGAAAATAGAAATTAATCCCATTCTCTCCCAATTATATCCTCTTACTCATTCCCAAAGACAGCTAATCACTCTGTCAAGTTGTAATCCTATAGCTAACTTTTGGCTTTAAAAAATATTCATGTAAATAAAAATTACAGTATTTGCTTCTCTATTTCTTTAGCATAATCAAAAGTAATCGTTATTGCATAGTCACTTTGGACTCTTCATGTCAGGAGAGCAGCAGACAGAGAAAGGAGTTACTATTTGGTGAGGGGTAATTATCCTCAAGCCACATAGTGTAGGAGAATGTATCTATAGCTCAGGTGATTTACTGAGTATATTAACTTACTAGCAGTGCCATGGTAAATTACTGCAAACCAAGTGGCTTAAATTTATTTTTTCACAGTTCCAAAGGCCTCTAGTCTGGAATTAAGCTGTTGGCAATGTTGTTTTCATCTGAAGCCTGCGAGGGAAGTATCTGTTCCAGGTCTCTCTCCTTGACTTGTAGATGTCTATCATTTCCATGTGTGTTTGACATAAGTTTTCTACTATATGCATACTGTCTCTGAATTTCCCCCTTGTGTATAGATATCAGTCATATTTAATCAGAAGCCTAATTGTTTCCAATATGACCTTTTCTTATCACATAACATTTTAAATGATTCTATTTGAACATGAATTTTGGAGGACACAAATTAACCCATAACACTGCAGAATCTCATAGTGTGTCCATGCCCAGTGATAACCACAAAACAGTAAAAACAGTAATCACAGCGGACAGTGGTATAGTAACCAGGGGCTCAGACCCTTCAGGAAGGATGCTCTGAGCTACTCCCTCAGGCAGTTATCTAGACAAACAAGAGTGCTGGCCAGGGGTGAAGGGAGAATAGGACTGGTGGTAATTAATGGAGCTTATGAATCTCAGGTGCACTGTATTATAGCAGCAGTAAGTGTAGCTTATTTCATTGGCCTTCATTTTATATCTCACTTCCTCCCCCAGCTTTTCGTTTCCTTCTTCATTTTTCTTTCTTTCTTTTTCTTCAATCACCCCTTCTCCTTCCTTCCTTCATGTTTTTTTTGGTTCCTTTATCCCTTCCCTTCCCTTCCCTTTCCTTTTCCTTCCTTTCTTCCTCCCTTCTCTTTTTCTTTTTTGTTTCTTTTCTCTTTCCTCCTCTCATCTTCTGTTCCTTCTCTTCCTCTCCTCTGCTTCTTCCTTCTTCTAGAGCTTGTGGCTCTCCATCACATTTAAACAGCAAAGATTTGACTTGAGTGGAGCTAATTGTAGGTCTCAGACAAGTTTTCGTAAGTGCGCCCATATATCTTGCAAGTTAGTGTGCTTGGATTAATTTCCATCTGTCAGAGTCCGCATCTCTGTGGCTAAGGGCTCTTGTATTGCAGCTGTAGAAAGTCATGCCACCTGTGAATGCAACACAGAGAAAAACACTCAACCAATGATTCTGGAGAGCTGATTTATAAAGACTCTAGCTTCCTCATTCCTGAAGTAGGATAATTCTAGCTGTGTGTTTTTCATCATTTCTGATAGTTTTCCCTTTAGTTTAAGCTTTAGTTGGTGACTGTGATACTGACTTTATAGTGTACCCTTTTCTGTATCACTTCCCCAATTCCTACCGGTGTGATCTGCACTTCCCAGTAAACTAGTTTCACTGGAATCTTTTCTTCAAAGTCTTTTCGGGAGAAACTAATCTATGACATTATGTTAACTCCCTCAGCCTCAATTTTCTTATCTCTACGCTGGGAATATTAATACCTATTCTGAAAGTTTGTTAAAGAGTTAATAATAATGTACACAAAGTGTTTAGCAAATACCCATCCTATAGCAGGCAATCCAGAACATATTAGTGTTTCTTGTTCAGAAAATTACCAATTTTAATGTTGAAGATAGGAATATTTTTGTAATAATTAACTAGATCAACTAAATACTTTTTTCCTAGCTGTATTGAGGTATAATTGACAAATAAAAGTTGTATCTATTTCAGGTATACAAGGTGATGTTCTGATATATATATTCCTTGTGAATAATATGTTTATTAGGTCACGAAGCTACCATTTCCTTTTAATTTTTGTGGTGTGAACATTTAAGATCTACCTTCTTGGTAAATTTCAGGTATATGATAAAGTGTTATTAACTATAGTCACATTACTGTACAGTAGACATGCTGAACTTATTCATCTTTCATAAATGATGCTAGTCAAAGAGAATGTCCTAGTTTTCATCTCCTTTACTTCAACCCTGAACGATGATCACAGTAAGTGGCCGTTGTCTCTTAGCCAAGTCTTCAGAGCATTCTAGATTCACAGTCTCAGAAGTTGGCATCTGTCATGGAAATCTACATTTTTAGCTGATCAGAGGTACTTCTAGCACTCCAGTGCTGGTAGGAGGTCCGAAGAAGGTGACCCAGGTCCCCAACTTTTATATTTCTCTCAGAGCCTGTATCAATCAATCTTTCCATGGGTGAATGCTTAGCTTACATCGGTTCAGGACCCAAAGCACTAACCTCTGTCTATTATGACTTCTATGAATGCACAAGTTCTACTTTGCTCCTTTCTTACATTCTTCTGATTTCCCTGGAAACACAAGTTTTTCATTTCTTTGAATGCTTCCTATTGGCCTCACAAAATGCAGAAGGCTGTTTCATTCCCTTACTTGGCTCAGAGATTATGGATTGTGCCAAGTCTTACATGCCCATTGTGTAGTTTCTCAATTCTCAGCTTTGTTCTTACATAATTTCCCTCATAACATTACAATTAGGGGACAAATTTTCTTAATGTGGCAAAATGTATGGTCTGCATTTTACAAGAAATAACTTAGTTTCATTTACTTCATCAATAGGTATTCAGGAGATGAAGGCTGTATAAGTATTTTATTTACATGATATTGACAACAAGTTTCTTCAGATGAGACTCTCTCTCATGAGTCCACAATAAATTCCCAAGCTTTTTTTGATGTAGATGAATTGAATGAGTGGCTGGTCAGAGGCTGAGACAAAAAGAGATCCCTGCATTCAGGGCAGCCATTAAATGCAGTCCCTGCTGCCATATCACGCAGCTGTTTCTCACTGAGGTGTGGGAAATTGGGAATTTTTTGTAAACAAAAACGTTATCTGCAAATATAAGAGATTATTTGTCCTATTGTTAAAAAAACTCAAGTATATGACTTGCTAATACTTACTTCCAATGTCATTTCTACTATATTGAGAGTTAAATGTAAGTGTCCTTGGGCAGAAAGAGAGGACCTCAGCTTGGACAAGAGTCTGCCCTTTACTAGCTACATAACATCACACATTAAATTGTTCTCAGCTGAAAAAATGGAGGTAATAACACACGACCATCTGTTTTGAGAATCAAATTGGATAATACCTATGGTATGTGATATGTGTGTAAATCTCATATCAGGAATGCTTTCATATAAAACAAAACACCATATGAGATGAGGATGGTTCAGAGTTTATTCAGAAACATATAGCTAAGAATCTCTGCTGGTAGCAGAAACATAACCCAAAGTTATGAAAAGAAGAAAGAAGGATACAAGAACCATGAGGAGGATATTGAAAACAAAAATATGATTGCAAAGATTATTGATCAGTTGCAGAAACCTAAATTCCTTAGAAGCAGAGAATGAAGCTCTTGACTTTTGAGTCAAAGCTGAGACCATGACTCAAAATTGAGAACACACGAAGCTGGCACATGATCCACAAAGTGTAAGGAAAAAGAGAATCAGGATGAAGTATTCTGCCCTCCCTCAAGCAGATTCCCAAGATTTTAAACATGTAGAGAATTCATAAAAATTTGGGTGAGAGCATGGTGGCTGTCAGCAGCAAATTAAATTAGTCCCCCAAAAGATAAGTCAGTTGAGCAGAAAGTTGTTGTGTGAGGATGGTGGTTCTCTCGGGACTTGATCAGCAGCAAAAAGGCTGACAGCAGCTGTACACACAGGTGGGCTGGAAGCAAGTGGTCTCACAGCAGGCTGGGCGGCAGCAGGGCTGGCAGCAGTTGGAGCCACAGCTCTGGTTTAGGCAACCAGGCAGGCAGACAGTTGTGGGGTAGTAGCAGGTTCTTCTGCAGTACACAGGTGCACAGGAGCTGCTCTGGTCACAGCTGGACCCACAGCAGGTGGGCTGGCAGCAGGGTGTGCTGCAGCAGGAAGGCTGGCAGCAGCTGGTCACACAGGTGGGCTGGCAGCAGGTGTTTTGACAGCAAGTTGGGCGGCAGCAAGGCTGGCAGCAGCTGGACACACAGCAGGAGGGCTGGCAGCAGGGTGTGCTGCTGCAGGTGGTCACAGTGGTGGGCTTCCAGCAGGTGGTCCTGCAGCAGGTGGTCCTGCAGCATGTAGGCTGACAGCAAGGGGAGCAACAGTGGGTCATGGTGTCAGGGGTGGAGGGTGGGCTTCTGTTCAGAGGTGAGTTTCCCAGAATCTGATGACCCCTTGCAATCTGGACCTTTTATACACCTGGCCTCCAAAGTTTCCACCAATCAGCAGGACTTTTCCTTGTTTCCGTTTACATTGTTTTCCCAGTCCGTTTGTGATTCTCAAAGGGTAGTTGTTTCCTTAAGGTTAAACAGATTAAGGTTTAATCTGTTTCTTAATTGTGAATTACTCATAGACACTTTGTTTCAGATAAAAGGAAGGCAATCTCATCATCAGCATCATTCCTGTTCTGACCATCATCTGGTCATGTGATAGTTCCTGTTGATCTGGGAGGCTCAGGAAGTTCTCTCTGGCCAGCCTCATGTTTGGCTGTATGTAGACTGGGAAGTGTCTGTGGGGAGAAGCATGATGCTGATATATTTACAGTGACAAAATGAATCCATGCCTGGGCCCAAGACTAGTCACCCACCAAATTCTGACTCAAGACTAACAGGCATCTCTCTGTGCAACCCACACCACCTGTCTTTCAGTTCTTTGAACATCACTTGGGAAGAGGGTGTTTGTCACAGTGTGTTCCATGTGGCAGAGCAGATCGAGAGCAGGTGGATGCAGATAAATCCACTGGGATTTAGACAGCATCAAGTAATCTATGCCCTGAGTGACCATTCATTCTGACTTGTCTGTGAGCGTGGCGATTCCAGAATGAGAATGTAGGACTCTCTATGGCATAAATGCTTGAGATTCAGGCCAACCAGCATGTGCTGTGGCTCTAGTCGCAACCCGGTTACTAGCACAGTAAGCAGCATGTCTTCTCTCTCTCTCTCTATTTCTTTTTAATGAAGGAATTAGATGAGTTGAGATGATGCCTGATTCATCATGGAGTTCTAACATGTTTAAAACATTTTCTAGGTATACCATTCATTTGAGAAGAATGCAAATTATTAATTTTCAACTTGATATAGTATTATATTGTAAATACATCTGTGTCCCCATTACATCTATGTTAGGAAATAGAAATTAATTCCATTCTCTCCCAATTATATGCTCTTACTCATTCCCAAAGACAGCTAATCACTCTATCAGTTGTAATCCTGTAGGTAACTTTTGGTTTTTTAAAGTTTTCATGTGAATAAAAAGTATAGTATTTGCTTCTCTATTTCTTTGGCATAAACAAAAGTAATCTTTATCGCCTAGTCATTTTGGACTCTTCATATAAGCAAAGCAGCAGACAGAGAAAGTAGTTACTATTTGGTGAGGGATAATTACCCTCAAGCCATATAGTGTAGCAGAATATATCTATAGCTCAGGAGATTTACTGAGTATATTAATTTACTAGCACTGCCCTGATGAATTACTGAAAAAAAGTGGCTTAAATTTATTTATCAAAGTTCTGAAGGCCTCTTTTCTGAAATTAAGGTGTTGGCAATGTTGTTTTCATCTGAAGACTGCGAGGGAAGTATCTGTTCCACGTCTCTCTCCCTGACGTGTCAAAGTCTATCATCTCCAAGTGTGTTTGACATAATTTTTCTATTATATCCATACTGTCTCTGAATTTCTCCCTTGTGAATAGACACAGTCATATTTAATCAGAGGCCTAATTGTTTCCAATATGACCTTGTCTTATCAGATAACACTTTAGATGATTCTATTTGAATATGAATTTTGAGGGACGCAAATGAACCCATAACACTGCAGAATCTCATAGCGTGTCCATGCCTAGTGATAACCACAAATGAGTAAAAACAACAATCACGGTGGACAATGGTATAGTAACCAGGGGCTCAGACCCTTCAGGAAGGATGCTCTGAGCTACTCTATCAGCAGTTATCTAGACCAACAAGAGTGCTGGCCAGGGGTGAAGGGAGAATAGAACTCTTGGTAATTAACGGAGTTTATGAAACTTAGGTGCACTGTATTATAGCAGAAGTAAGTGTAGATTATTTAATTGGCCTTCATTTTATATCTCACTTCCTCTCCTTTCTTTTCCTTTCCTTCCTCTTTCTTCTTTCTTTCTTTCTTTTCTTTCTTTCTTTTCCTTCCTTCCTTCCTTTTTTCCTCCCTTCCTCCCTCCCTTCCCTTCCCTTCTCTCTCCCTTTCTCTCTCTTTCTTTCTTTCTCTTTCTTTCTTTCTTTTTATCTTTCTTTCTTTCTTTTTTCCTTCCTTCCTTCCTTCCCCTCCCTCAGTTCCTCCCCGCTCCCTCCTTTCCCTCCCTCCCTCCTTCCTGTCCTTCCTTCCTTCCTTCCTTCTTTCCTTCCTTCCTTCTCTCTGTCTTTCTGTTTTTCTTTCCTTCTTTTCTCTTTCCTTCTCCTCTCATCTTCTGTCCCTTCTCTTCCTCTGCTTCCTCTCTTCCTCTTCTTCCTTCTCCTAGAGCTTGTGGCTGCCCATCCTATTTAAGTAGCAAATATTTGACTTGAGTGGAGCTAATTGTAGATTGTAGACAAGTTTTCATGACTGCACCCATATATCTTGGATGTTACTGTGCTTGGATCAATTTCCATCTGTCAAAATCTGCATCTCTGTGCCTAAGGGCTCTTGTATTGCAGCTGTAGAAAGTCATGCCACCTGTGAATGCAACACAGAGAAAAACACTCAACCAATGATTCTGGAGAGCTGATTTATAAAGACTTTAGCTTCCTCATTCCTGAAGTAGGGTAATTCTAGCTGTGTGTTTTTCATCATTTCTGATAGTTTTCCCTTTAGTTTAAGCTTTAGTTGGTGACTGTGATACTGACTTAATAGTGTGCCTTCTTCTGTATCACTTCCCCAGTCCCTACCGGTGTGATCTGCACTTCTCAGTAAACTAGTTTCCCTGGAATATTTTCTTCAAAGTCTCTTCTGGGAGAAACTAATCTATGACAATACGTTAACTCTCTCAGCCTCAAATTTCTCATCTCTACAAGGGGAACATTAATACGTATTTTGAAAGTTTGTTAAATAGTTAATAATAATGTACACAAAGCATTTATCCAGTACCCATCATAGAGCAGGCAACACAGAATTAGTGTTTTTTGTTCAGAAAATTCCCAAGTTTTATGTTGAAGATAAGAATATTTTTGTAATAATTAAATAGATCAACTAAATAGTTTTTTTCTAGCTGTATTGAGGTATTATTGACAAACAAAAATTGTGTACATTTCAGGTATAGAAGGTGATGCTCTGATATATATATTGATTGTGAATAACATATTTATTAGGTCACTTAGTTACCATTTCCTTTTTATTTTTCTGGTGTGAACATTTAAGATCTACCTTCTCAGTAAATTTCAGGTATATGATAAAGTGTTTTTAACTATAGTCATATTACTGTACATTAGACCTACTGAACTTATTCATCTTTCATAACTGATGCTAGTCAAAGAGAATGTCCTAGTTTTCATCTCCTTTACTTCATCCCTGAACGATGATGACAGTAAGTGGCTGTTGTCTCTTAGCCAAGTCTTCAGAGCATTCTAGATTCACAGTCTCAGAAGTGGCATCTGTCATGGAAATCTACATTGTTAGCTCATCAGAGGTATTTCTACCACTCCCCTGCTTGTAGGAGGCCCCAAGAAGGTGACCTAGGTCCCCAATCTTTGTATTTCTCACAGATCCAGTATCAATCAACCTTCCGTGGGTGAATGCTTAGCTTGAATCAGTTCAGGACCCGAAGCAAAAACCTCTGTCTATCATGACTTCTGTTTCTTTTTTTTTTCTTTCTTTTTTTTTTTTTTTTACTTTAAGTTCTAGGGTACATGTGCACAATGTGCAGGTTTGTTACATATGTATACGTGCACCATAATGGTGTGCTGCACCCATTAACTCGTTATTTACATTAGATATATCTCCTAATGCTATCCCTCCCCACTCCCCTCACCCCATAATAGGCCCCGGTGTGTGATGTTCCCCTTCTTGCGTCCAACGGTTCTCATTGTTCAATTGCCACCTATGACTGAGAATGTGTGGTGTTTGGTTTTTTGTCCTTGCGATAGTTTGCTGAGAATGATGGTTTCCAGCTTCATCCATGTCCCTACAAAGGACATGAACTCATCCTTTTTTATGGCTGCATAGTATTCTGTGGTGTATATGTGTCACATTTTCTTAATCCCATCTATCATTGATGGACATTTGGGTTGGTTCCAAGTCTTTGCTATTGTGAATAGTGCTGCAATAAACATACGTGTGCATGTGTCTTTATAGCAGCATGATTTATAATCCTTTGGGTATATACCCAGTAATGGGATGGCTGGGTCAAATGGTATTTCTAGTTGTAGATCCTTGAGGAATCACCACACCGTCTTCCACAATGGTTAAACTAGTTTACAGTCCCACCAACAGTGTAAAAGTGTTCCTATTTCTCCACATCCTCTCCAGCACCTGTTGTTTCCTGACTTTTTAATGATAGCCATTCTAACTGGTGTGAGATGGTATCTCATTGTGGTTTTGATTTGCATTTCTCTGATGGCCAGTGATGATGAGCATTTTTTCATGTGTCTTTTGGCTGCATACATGTCTTCTTTTGAGAAGTGTCTGTTTATATCCTTCATCCAGTTTTTGATGGGATGGTTTGTTTTTTTCTTGTAAATTTGTTTGAGTTCTTTGTAGATTCTGGATATTTGCCCTTTGTCAGATGAGTAGATTTCAAAAATTTTCTCCCATTCTGTAGGCTGCCTGTTCACTCTGATGGTAGTTTCTTTTGCTGTGCAGAAGTTCTTTAGTTTAATTAGATCCCATTTGTCAATTTTGGCTTTTATTGCCATTGCTTTTTGTGTTTTAGACATGAAGTCCTTGCCCATGCCTATGTCCTGAATGGTATTGCCTAGGTTTTCTTCTAGGGTTTTTATGGTTTTAGGTCTAACATTTAAGTCTTTAATCCATCTTAAATTAATTTTTGTATAAGGTGTAAGGAAGGGATCCAGTTTCAGCTTTCTACGTATGACTAGCCAGTTTTCCCAGCACCATTTATTAAATAGGGAATCCTTTCCCCATTTCTTGCTTTTGTCAGGTTTGTCAAAGATCAGATGGTTGTAGATGTGTGGTATTATTTCTGAGGGCTCTGTTCTGTTCCATTGGTCTATACCTCTGTTTTGGTACCAGTACCATGATGTTTTTGTTACTATAGCCTTTTAGTATAGTTTTAAGTTAGGTAGCATGATGACTCCAGCTTTGTTCTTTTGGCTTAGGAGTGTCTTGGCAATGCAGGCCCTTTTTTGGTTCCATATGAACTTTAAAGTAGTTTTTTCCAATTCTGTGAAGAAAGTCATTGGTAGCTTAATGGGAATGGCATTGAATCTATGAATTACCCTGGGCAATATGGCCATTTTCATGATATTGATTCTTCCTATCCATGAGCATGGGATGTTCTTCCATTTGTTTGTGTCCTCTTTTATTTCATTGAGCAGAGGTTTGTAGTTCTCCTTGAAGAGGTCCTTCACGTCCCTTGTAAGTTGGATTCCTAGGTATTTTATTCTCTTTGAAGCAATTGTGAATGGGAGTTCCTTCATGATTTGGCTCTCTCTTTGTCTGTTATTGGTGTATAACAATGCTTGTGATTTTTGCACTTTGATTTTATATCCTGAGACTTTGCTGAAGTTGCTTATCAGCTTAAGGAGATTTTGGGCTGAGATGATGGGGTTTTCTAAATATACAATCATGTCACCTGCAAACAGGGACAATTTGACTTCCTCTTTTCCTAATTGAATACCATTTATTTCTTTCTCCTGCCTGATTGCCCTGGCCAGAACTTCCAACACTGTTGAATAGGAGTGGTGAGAGAGGGCATCCCTGTCTTGTGCCGGTTTTCAAAGGGAATGCTTCCAGTTTTTGCCCATTCAGTATGATATTGGCTGTGGGTTTGTCATAAATAGCTCTTATTATTTTGAGATCGTCCCATCAATACCTAATTTATTGAGAGTTTTTAGCATGAGGAGTTGTTGAATTTTGTCAAAGGCCTTTTCTGCATCTATTGAGATATCACGTGGTTTTGTCTTTGGTTCTGCTTATATGCTGGATTATGTTTATTGATTTGCATATGTTGAACCAGCCTTGCATCCCAGGGATGAAGCCCACTTTATCATGTTGGATCAGCTTTTTGATGTGCTGCTGAATTCAGTTTGCCAGTATTTTAATGAGGATTTTTGCATCAATGTTCATCAGGGATATTGGTCGAAAATTCTCTTTTTTTGTTGTGTCTCTGCCAGGCTTTGGTATCAGGATGATGCTGGCCTCATAAAATGAGTTAGGGAGGAGTCCCTCTTTTTCTATTGATTATAATAGTTTCAGAAGAAATGGTACCAGCTCCTCCTTGTACCTCTGGTAGAATTTGGCTGTGAATCCGTCTGCTCCTGGACTTTTTTTTGGTTGGTAGGCTATTAATTATTGCCTCAATTTCAGAGCCTGTTATTGGTCTATTCAGGGATTCAGTTTCTTCCTGGTTTAGTCTTTATTCATTTCTTCAAGATTTTCTAGTTTATTTGCATAGAGGTGTTTATAGTATTCTCTGATGGTAGTCTGTATTTCTGTGGGATTGTTGGTGATATCCCATTTATCATTTTTTATTGCGTCTATTTGATTCTTCTCTCTTTTCTTCTTTATTAGTCTTGCTAACGGTCTATCAATTTTGTTGATCTTTTCAAAAAACCAGCGACTGGATTCATTGATTTTTTGAAGGGTTTTTCATGTCTCTATTTCCTTCAGTTCTGCTCTGATCTTAGTTATTTCTTGCCTTCTGCTAGCTTTTGAATGTGATTGCTCTTGCTTCTCTAGTTCTTTTAATTGTGATGTTAGGGTGTCAATTTTAGATCTTTCCTGCTTTGTCTTGTGGGCATTTAGTGCTATAAATTTCCCTGTACACACTGCTTTAAATGTGTCCCAGAGATTCTGGTATGTTGTGTCTTTGTTCTCATTTGTTTCAAAGAATATCTTTATTTCTGCCTTCATTTTGTTATGTACCCAGTAGTCATTCAGGAGCAGGTTGTTCAGTTTTCATGTAACTGAGTGGTTTTGAGTGAGTTTCTAAATCCTCAGTTCTAGTTTGATTGCACCGTTGTCTGAGAGACAGTTTGTTATAATTTCTCTTCTCTTACATTTGCTGAGGAGTGCTTTACTTCCAACTATGTGGTCAATTTTGGAATAAGTGTGATGTGGTGCTGAGAAGAATGTATATTCTGTTGATTTGGGGTGGAGAGCTCTGTAGATGTCTATGAGGTCCGTTTGGCGTAGAGCTGAGTTCAATTTCTAGATATCCTTGTTAACTTCCTGTCTCGTTGATCTGTCTAATGTTGACAGTGGGGTGTTACATTCTCCCATTATTATTGTGTGGGAGTCTAAGTCTCTTTGTAGGTCTCTAAGGACTTGCTTTATGAATCTGGGTGCTCCTGTATTGGGTGCTTATATATTTAGGATAGTTAGCTATTCTTGTTGAGTTGATCCCTTTACCATTATGCAATGGCCTTCTTTGTCTCTTTTTATCTTTGTTGATTTAAAGTCAGTTTTATCACAGACTACAATTGCAAACCCTCCTTTTTTTTTTCCATTTGCTTGGTAGATCTTCCTCCATCCCTTTATTTTGAGCATATGTGTGTCTCTGTATGGGAGATGGGTCTCCTGAATACAGCACACTGATGGGTCTTGACTCTTTATCCAATTTGCCAGTCTGTGTCTTTCAACTGGAGCATTTAGCCCATTTACACTTAACGTTAATATTGTTATGTGTGAATTTGATCCTGTCATTATGATGTTAGCTGGTTATTTTGCTCGTTAGTTGATGCAGTTTCTTCCTAGCATTGACAGCCTTTACAATTTGGCATGTTTTTGCAGTGGCTGGTACCGGTTGTTCCTTTCTATGTTTAGTGCTTCCTTCAGGAGCTCTTGTAAGGCAGGCCTGGTGGTGACAAAATCTCTCAGCATTTGCCTGTCTGTAAAGTATTTTATTTCTCCTTCACTTATGAAGCTTAGTTTGGCTGGATATGAAATTCTGGGTTGAAAATTCTTTTCTTTAAGAATGTTGAATATTGGCCCCCACTCTCTTCTGGCTTGTAGAGTTTCTGCCGAGAGATCTGCTGTTAGTCTGATGGGCTTCCCTTTGTGGGTAACCCGACGTTTCTCTCTGGCTGCCCTTAACATTTTTTCCTTCATTTCAACTTTGGTGAATCTGACAATTATGTGTCTTGGAGTTGCTCTTCTCGAGGAGTATCTTTGTGGTGTTCTCTGTATTTCCTGAATTTGAATATTCGCCTGTCTTGCTAGGTTGGGGAAGTTCTCCTCGATAATATCCTGCAGAGTGTTTTCCAACTCGGTTTCATTCTCCCCGTCACTTTCAGGTACACCAATCAGATGTAGATTTGGTCTTTTCAGATAGTCCCATATTTCTTGGAGGCTTTGTTCCTTTCTTTTTACTCTTTTTTCTCTAAACTTCTCTTCTCTCTTCATTTCATTCCTGTGATCTTCAATCACTGATACCCTTTCTTCCAGTTGATTGAATTTGCTACTGAAGCTTGTGCATTCGTCACGTAGTTCTCATGCCATGGTTTTCAGCTCCATCAGGTCATTTAAGGACTTCTCTACACTGGTTATTTTAGTTAGCCATTTGTCTAATCTTTTTTCAAGGTTTTTAGCTTCTTTGCAATGGGTTCGAACTTCCTCTTTTAGCTTGGAGAAGTTTGATCATCTGAAGCCTTCTTCTCTCAACTCATCAAAGTCATTCTCCGTCCAGCTTTGTTCCGTTGCTGGCAAGGAGCTGTGCTCCTCTGGAAGGTGAGAGGCACCTGATTTTTAGAATTTTCAGCTTTTCTGCTCTGTTTCTCCCCATCTTTGTGATTTTATCTACCTTTGGTCTTTGATGATGGTGACATACAGATGGGGTTTTGGTGTGGATGTCCTTTCTGTTTGTTAGTTTTCCTTCTAACAGTCAGGACCCTCAGCTGCAGGTCTGTTGGAGTTTGCTGAAGGTCCACTCCAGACGCTGTTTGCCTGGGTATCGGCAGCGGAGGCTGCAGAACAGCGAATATTGCTGAACAGTAAATGTTGCTGCCTGATCGTTTCTCTGGAGCTTCATCTCAGAGGGGTATCTAGCCATGTGAGGTCTCAGACTGCCCCTACTGGAGGGTGTCTCCCAGTTAGGCTACTTGGGGGTCAGGGACCCACTTGAGGAGGCAGTCTGTCTGTTCTCAGATCTCAAACTGTGTGCTAGGAGAACCACTACTCTCTTCAAAGCTGTCAGATGGGACATTTAAGTCTGCAGAGGTTTCTGCTGCCTTTTGTTTGGCTATGCCCTGCCCCAGAGGTGGAGTCTACAGTGGCAGGCAGGCCTCCTTGAGCTGTGGTGGGCTCCACCCAGTTTGAGCTTCCTGGCCACTTTATCTACTCAAGCCTCAGCCATGGCAGGCGCCCCTCCCCCAGCCTCACTGCCACCTTGCAGTTCGATCTCAGACTGCTGTGCTAGCAATGAGAGAGGCTCTGTGGGCGTGGGCTCTCTGAGCCAGGCACGGGACATAATCTCCTGGTGTGCCGTTTGTAAGACCATTGGAAAAGGGCAGTATTAGGGTGTGAGTGACCCAGTTTTCCAGGTGCCATCTGTCACAGCTTCCCCCGACTCCTTGCAATTCCTGGGTGAGGCAATGCCTCGCCCTGCTTTGGCTCATGCTCAGTGGGCTGCACCCACTGTCCTGCACCCACTGTCCAACAAGCCCCAGTGAGATGAACCCGGTACCTCAGTTGGAAATGCAGAAATCAACCATCTTCTGCGTCACTCATGCTGGGAGCTGTAGACTGGAGCTGTTCCCATTCAGCCACCTTGGAACTTCCCCCTATCATGACTTCTATGAATGCAGAAGTTCTACTTTGCTCCTTTCTTACATTATGTTGATTTCCCTGAAAACACAAGTTTTTCGTTTCTTTAGATGGTTCATATTATCCTCAAAAACTGCAGAAGGTTGTTTCATTCCCTTCCTTCTCATAGAGATAATGGATTGTGCCAAGTCTTACATGCCCATTGCACACTTTCTCAATTCCCAGCTTTGTTCTTACTTAATTTTCCTCATAACGTCTCAATTATGGGACAAATTTTCTTAATGTGGCATAAGGTACAGTCTGTGTTTTACAAGGAATAACTTAGTTTCATTTACTTCGTCAATAGGTGTTCAGGAGATGGAGGCCATATAACAATTTTATTTACATGATATCGAGAATAAGTTCCTTCAGATGAGACTCTCTCATGAGTCCACAATGAATTCTCAAGCATTTTTTGATGCAGATGAATTGAATGAATGACTGGTCAGAGGATGAGACAAAAAGAGATCCCTGCTTTCAGGGCAGCCATTAAATGCAGTCCCTGCTGCCATATCATGCAGCTGTTGCTCACTGAGGTGTGGGAAACTTATTTGGGAAAACTTTTTTGTGAACAAAAATGTTATCTGCAAATATAAGAGATCATTCCTCTCATTGTTAAATAAACTCAAGTGCATGTCTTGCTAGTGCTGACTTCCAATGTCATTTCACTACATTGAGAGTTAAATGTAAGTGTCCTTGGGCAGAATGAGAGGACCCCAGCTTGGACCAGAGTCTGTGTTTTATTAGCTACATAACATCACGCATTAAATTGTACTCAGCTAAAAAAATGAAGGTAATAATACATGACCATCTGTTTTGAGAATAAAATTGGATAATACCTATGGTATGTGATATGTGTGTAAATCCCATATCAGGAATGTTTTCAAATAAAACAAAACACCATATGAGATGAGGATGGTTAAGAGTTTATTCAGAAATATATAGGTAAGAATCTCTGTTACCAAGGACATAACTCAAAGTTATCATGAAAAGAATAAAGAAGAATACAAGAACCATGAGGAGGATATTGAAAACAAAAATGTGATTGCAAAAATTATTGGTCGGTTGCAGAAACCTATATTCCTTAGAAGCAGAGAATGAACCTCTTGACTTTTGAGTCAAAGTTGAGATCATGATTCCAAATTGAGAACAGACGAAGCTGGCACATGATCCACAAGGTGTAAGGAAAAAGAGAATCAAGATGAAGTATTCTGCCCTCCCTCAGGCTGATTCACAAGATTTTAAACATGCAGAGAATTCATAAAAATTTGGGTGAAAGCATGGTGGCTGTCAGCAGCAAATTAAATTAGTCCCCCAAAAGATGAGTCAGTTGAGCAGAAATTTGTTGTGTGAGTATGGTGGTTCTCTTGGGACTTGATCAGCAGCAAGAAGGCTGGCAGCAGCTGTACACACAGGTGGGCTGGAAGCAAGTGGTCTCACAGCAGGCTGGGCGGCAGCAGGGCTGGCAGCAGCTGGAGCCACAGCTCTGGTTTAGGCAACCAGGCAGGCAGACAGTCGTGGGGTGGTAGCAGGTTCTTCTGCAGTACACAGGTGCACAGGAGCTGCTCTGACCACAGCTGGACCCACAGCTGGTTTGGCCACAGCAGGTGGGCTGACAGCAGGGTGTGCTGCAGCAGGAAGGCTGGCAGCAGCTGGTCACACAGATGGGCTGGCAGCAGGTGTTTTGACAGCAAGTTGGGCGGCAGCAAGGCTGGCAGCAGCTGGACACACAGCAGGAGGGCTGGCAGCAGGGTGTGCTGCTGCAGGTGGTCACAGTGGTGGGCTTCCAGCAGGTGGTCCTGCAGCACGTAGGCTGACAGCAAGGGGAACAACAGTGGGTCATGGTGTCAGGGGTAGAGGGTGGAGTTCTGTTCAGAGGTGAGTTTCCCAGAATCTGATGACCCCTTGCATTCTGGACCTTTTATACACCTGGCCTCCAAAGTTTCCACCAATCAGCAGGACTTTTCCTTGTTGCTGTTTATCTTGTTTTCCACAGTCCGTTTGTGATTCTCAAAGGGTAGTTGTTTCCTTAAGGTTAAACAGATTAAGGTTTAATCTGTTTCTTAATTGTGAATTACTCATAGACACTTTGTTTCAGATAAAAGGAAGCCCGTCTCATCATCAGCATCATTCCTATTCTGACCATCATCTAGTCATGTGATAGTTCCTGTTGATCTGGGAGGCTCAGGAAGCTCTCTGGCCAGCCTCATGTTTGGCTGTATATAGACTGGGAAGTGTCTGTGGGGAGAAGCATGATGCTGATATATTTACAGTGACAAAATGAATCCATGCCTGGGCCCAAGGCTAGTCACCCACCAAATTCTGACTCAAGACTAACAGGCATCTCTCTGTACCACCCTCACCACCTGTGCCTTTCAGTTATTTGAACGTCACTTGGGAAGAGGGTGTCTGTCACAGTGTGTTCCATGTGGCAGAGCAGATCGAGAGCAGGGGGATGCAGAGAAATTCACTGGGATTTAGACAACATCAAGCAATCTATGCCCTGAGTGACCATTCATTCTGACTTGTCTGTGAGTGTGGCGATTCCAGGACGAGAATGTAGGACTCTCTATGACATAACTGCTTGAGATTCAGGCCAACCAGCATGTGCTCTGGCTCTAGCTGCAACCCAGTTACCAGCACAGTAAGCATCATGTGTTCTCTCTCTATTTCTTTTTAATGAAGGAATTAGATGAGTTGAGATGATGCCTGATTCATCATGGAGTTCTAACATGTTTAAAACATTTTCTAGGTATACCATTCATTTGAGAAAATGCAAACTATTAATTTTCAACTTGATATAGTATTATATTGTAAATACATCTATGTCCCATTACATCTATGTTAGGAAATAGAAATTAATTCCATTCTCTCCCAATTATATGCTCTTACTCTTTCCCAAAGACAGCTAATCACTCTATCAGTTGTAATCCTGTAGGTAACTTTTGGCTTTTTAAAATTTTCATGTGAATAAAAAGTATAGTATTTGCTTCTCTATTTCTTTGGCATAAACAAAAGTAATCTTTATCGCCTAGTCATTTTGGACTCTTCATATAAGCAAAGCAGCAGACAGAGAAAGTAGTTACTATTTGGTGAGGGATAATTACCCTCAAGCCATATAGTGTAGCAGAATATATCTATAGCTCAGGAGATTTACTGAGTATATTAATTTACTAGCACTGCCCTGATGAATTACTGAAAAAAAGTGGCTTAAATTTATTTATCAAAGTTCTGAAGGCCTCTTTTCTGAAATTAAGGTGTTGGCAATGTTGTTTTCATCTGAAGACTGCGAGGGAAGTATCTGTTCCAGGTCTCTCTCCCTGACGTGTCGAAGTCTATCATCTCCAAGTGTGTTTGACATAATTTTTCTATTATATCCATACTGTCTCTGAATTTCTCCCTTGTGAATAGACACAGTCATATTTAATCAGAGGCCTAATTGTTTCCAATATGACCTTGTCTTATCAGATAACATTTTAGATGGTTCTATTTGTATATGGATTTTGAGGGACGCAAATGAACCCATAACACTGCAGAATCTCATAGTGTGTCCATGCCCAGTGATAACCACAAATGAATAAAAACAGCAATCACGGTGGACAATGGTATAGTAACCAGGGGTTCAGACCCTTCAGGAAGGATGCTCTGAGCTACTCTATCAGCAGTTATCTAGACCAAAAAGAGTGCTGGCCAGGGGTGAAGGGAGAATAGAACTCTTGGTAATTAACGGAGTTTATGAAACTTAGGTGCACTGTATTATAGCAGAAGTAAGTGTAGATTATTTAATTGGCCTTCATTTTATATCTCACTTCCTCTCCTTTCTTTTCCTTTCCTTCTTCTTTCTTTCTTTCTTTTCCTTCCTTCCTTCCTTTTTCTCCCTTCCTGCCTCCCTCCCTTCCCTTCCCTTCTCTCTCTCTCTCTATTCTTTCTTTCTTTCTTCTTTCTTTCTTTTTTCTTTCTTTCTTTCTTTCTTTCGATCTCTTTCCTTCCTTCCTTCCTTCCTTCCTTTCCCTCCCTCGGTTCCTCCCTGCTCCCTCTTTTCCCTCCCTCCTGTCCGTCCTTCCTTCCTTCCTTCTCTCTGTCTTTCTGTTTTTCTTTCCTTCTTTTCTCTTTCCTTCTCCTCTCATCTTCTGTCCCTTCTCTTCCTCTGCTTCCTCTCTTCCTCTTCTTCTTTCTCCTAGAGCTTGTGGCTGTCCATTCTATTTAAGTAGCAAATATTTGACTTGAGTGGAGCTAGTTGTAGATCGTAGACAAGTTTTCATGACTGCACCCGTATATCTTGCATGTTAGTGTGCTTGGATCAATTTCTATCTGTCAAAATCTGCATCTCTGTGCCTAAGGGCTCTTGTATTGCAGCTGTAGAAAGTCATGCCACCTGTGAATGCAACACAGAGAAAAACACTCAACCAATGATTCTGGAGAGCTGATTTATAAAGACTCTAGCTTCCTCATTCCTGAAGTAGGATAATACCAGCTATGTGTTTTTCATCATTTCTGATAATTTTCACTTTAGTTTAAGCTTTAGTTGGTGACTGTGAAACTGACTTAATAGTGTACCCTTTTCTGTATCACTTCCCCAGTCCCTACCAGTATGATCTGCACTTCCCAGTAAACTAGTTTCACTGGAATTTTTTTTCAGAGTCTCTTCTGGGAGAAACTCATCTATGCCTATACGTTAACTCAGCCTCAAATTTCTCATCTCTACAAGAGGAACATTAATACCTATTTTGAAAGTTTGTTAAATAGTTAATAATAATGTACACAAAGCATTTATCCAGTACCCATCATAGAGCAGGCAACACAGAATTAGTGTTTTTTGTTCAGAAAATTCCCAAGTTTTATGTTGAAGATAAGAATATTTTTGTAATAATTAAATAGATCAACTAAATACGTTTTTTTCTAGCTGTATTGAGGTATAATTGACAAACAAAAATTGTGTACATTTCAGGTATAGAAGGTGATGCTCTGATATATATATTGATTGTGAATAACATATTTATTAGGTCACTTAGTTACCATTTCCTTTTTATTTTTCTGGTGTGAACATTTAAGATCTACCTTCTCAGTAAATTTCAGGTATATGATAAAGTGTTTTTAACTATAGTCATATTACTGTACATTAGACCTACTGAACTTATTCATCTTTCATAACTGATGCTAGTCAAAGAGAATGTCCTAGTTTTCATCTCCTTTACTTCATCCCTGAACGATGATGACAGTAAGTGGCTGTTGTCTCTTAGCCAAGTCTTCAGAGCATTCTAGATTCACAGTCTCGGAAGTTGGCATCTGTCATGGAAATCTACATTTTTAGCTCATCAGAGGTATTTCTACCACTCCCCTGCTGGTAGGAGGCCCCAAGAAGGTGCCCCAGGTCCCCGACTTTTCAATTTCTCTCAGAGCCAGCATCAATCAATCCTTTCATGAGTGAATGGTTATCTTACATCAGTTCAGGACCCGAAGCACCAACCTCTGTCTATTATGTCTTCTATGAATGCACAAGTTCTACCTTGCTCCTTTCTTACATTCTTCTGATTTCCGTGGAAAAAGAAGTTTTTCATTTCTTTAGATTCTTCATATTGGCCTCACAAAATGTGGAAGGTTGTTTTTATTCCCTTCCTTAGCTCAGAGATTATGGGTTGTGCCAAGTCTTACATGCCCATTGCATAGTTTCTCAATTCCCAGCTTTGTTCTTACATAATTTTACTCATAACACTTCAAGTAGGGGACAAATTGTCTTAACGTGGCATAACGTATGGTCTGTATTTTACAATGAATAACTTAGTTTCATTTACTTTGTCAATTGGTATTCAGGAGACCGATGCTGTATAAGAATTTTATTTACATCACACTGAGAATAAGTTTCTTCAGATGAGGCTCCGTCTCCTGAGTCCACAATAAATTCTCAAGCATTTTTTGATGCAGATGAATTGAATGAATGGCTGGTCAGAGGCTCAGACAAAAAGATCTCTGCATTCAGGGCAGCCATTAAATGCATATCATGCAGCCTTTGCTCACTGAGGTGTGGGGAACTACTTTGGGATTTTTTTGTGTGTGAACAAAAGTGTTATCTGCAAATATGTCAGATTATTCCTCTCATTGTTAAATAAACTCAAGTACATGTCTTGCTAGTGCTGACTTCCAGTGTCTTTTCTACTATATTGGGAGTTAAACGTAAGTGTCCTTGGGCAGAAAGAGAGGACCTCACCTTTGACCAGAGTCTGCCCTTTACTAGCTACATAACATCACACATTAAATTGTTCTCAGCTGAAAAAATGGAGTTAATAATACACGACCATCTGTTTTGAGAATCAAATTGGATAATACCTATGGTATGTGATATGTGTGTAAATCCCATATCAGGAATGCTTTCAAATAAAACAAAACACTATATGAGATGAAGATGGTTCAGAGTTTATTCAGAAACATATAGGTAAGAATCTCTGCTACCAGAGACATAACCCAAAGTTATCGTGAAAAGAAGAAAGAAGGATACAAGAACCATGAGAAGGATATTTAAAATGAAAATATAATTGCAAAGATGATTGATCAGTTGCAGAAACCTAAATTCCTTAGAAGCAAAGAATGAAGCTCTTGATTTTTGAGACAAAGCTGAGATCATGACTCCAAATTAAGAACAGACGAAGCTGGCACATGATCCACAAGGTGTAAGGAAAGAGGGAATGAGGATGAAGTATTCTGCCCTCCCTCAAGCAGATTCCCAAGATTTTAAACATGTAGAGAATTCATAAAAATTTGGGTGAGAGCATGGTGGCTGTCAGCAGCAAAGTAAATTAGTCCCTCAAAAGACAAGTCAGTTGAGCTGAAGGTTGTTGTGTGAGGATGGTAGTTCTCTTGGGAGTTGATTAGCAGCAAGAAGGCTGGCAGCAGCTGTACACACAGGTGGGCTGGAAACAAGTGGTCCTGCAGCAGGTGGTCTCACAGCAGGCTGGGCGGCAGCAGGGCTGGCAGCAGTTGGAGCCACAGCTCTGGTTTAGGCAACCAGGCAGACAAACACTTGTGGGGTGGTAGCAGGTTCTTCTGCAGTACACAGGTGCACAGGAGCTGCTCTGACCACAGCTGGACCCACAGCATGTGGGCTGGCAGCAGGGTGTGCTACAGCAGGAAGGCTGGCAGCAGCTGGTCACACAGATGGGCTGGCAGCAGGTGGTCCTACAGCAGGTGTTTTGACAGCAAGTTGGGTGGCAGCAAGGCTGGCAGCAGCTGGAAACACAGCAGGAGGGCTGGCAGCAGGGTGTGCTGCTGCAGGTGGTCACAGTGGTGGGCTGCCAGCAGGTGGTCCTGCAGCAGGTAGGCTGACAGCAAGGGGAGCAACAGTGGGTCATGGTGTCAGGGATGGAGGGTGGGCTTCTGTTAAGAGGTGAGTTTCCCAAAATCTGATGACCCCTTGCAATCTGGACCTTTTATACACCTGGCCTCCAAAGTTTCCACCAATCAGCAGGACTTTTCCTTGTTGCTGTTTACATTGTTTTCCACAGTCCATTTGGGATTGTCAAAGGGGAAGTTGTTACTGAAATCTTATGAACCTTTTAAACTAAGGGTTTAATCTGTTTCTTAATTGTGAGTTACTCATAGAAAGTTTGTTTCAGATAAAAGGAAGCCCGTCTCATCATCAGCATCATTCCTGCTCTGACCATCATCTGGTCATGTGACAGTTCCTGTTGATCCGGGGGGCTCAGGAAGTTCTCTCTGGCCAGCCTCATGTTTGGCTGTATATAGACTTGGAAGTGTCTGTGGGGAGAAGCATGATGCTGATATATTTACAGTGACAAAATGAATCCATGCCTGGGCCCAAGACTATTCACCCACCAAATTCTGACTCAAGACTAACAGGCATCTCTTTGTGCCACCCACATCATCTGTGTCTTTCAGTTCTTTGAATGTCACTTGGGAAGACGGTGACTGCACAGTGTGTTCCATGCGACAGAGCAGATCGAGAACAGGTGGATGCAGAGAAATCTGCTGAGATTTAGACAGCATCAAGCAATGTATGCCCTAGGACGACCATTCATTCTGACTTGTCTGGGAGTGTGGGGATTTCCGGGATGAGAATGGAGGACTTTCTATCACGTAACTTCTTGAGATTCAGGCCAACCAGCATGTGCTCTGGCTCTAGCCCTAAACCTAGTTACTAGCAGTAACTAGAAGTAAGCGTTGAAATTCAGGCCAACCAGCATGTGCTGTGGCTCTAGCCCTAAACCTAGTTACTAGCAGTAACTAGAAGAAGAAGTAAGTAGAAGTAATTTCTTCTATTTCTTTTCAATGAAGGGATTAGATGAGTTGAGATGACACCTGATTCATCGTGGAGTTCTAACATGTTGAAAACATTGTCTAGGTATATCATTCACTTGAGAAGAATGCAAATTATTAATTTCCAACCTGATATAGTATTACATTGTAAATACATCTATGTCCCCATTACCAGGTTAGGAAATAGAAATTAATGCCATTCTCTCCCAATTATATCCGCTTACTCATTTCCAAACAGCTAATCACTCTATCAAGTTATAATCCAGTAGATGACTTTGGCTTTTTAAAATTTCCATGTGAATAAAAATTATAGTATTTGCTTCTCTGTTTCTTTGTTATAATCAAAAGGAATCGTTATCGCCTAGTCATTTTGGACTCTTCCCGTCAGCAGAGCAGCAGACAGAGAAAGGAGTTACTATTTGGTGAGGGGTAATTATCTTTAAGCCATATAGTGTAGCAGAATATATCTATAGCTCAGGATACTTAGTAAGTGTATTAACTTACCAGCACTGCCATAATAAATTACTGTAAACCAAGTGGCTTAAATTTATCTTTTCACAGTTCAGAAATTAAGGTTTTGGCAATGTTGTTTTCATCTGAAGCCTGTGAGGGAAGTACATGTTCCAGGTCTCTCTCCTTGACTTGTTGATGTCTATCATTTCCATGTGTGTTTGATATAATTTTTCTGTTATATGCATGCTGTCTCTGAATTTCCCCCTTTTATATAGACATCAGTCATATTTAATCAGAGGCCTAATTGTTTCCAATATGACCTTGCCTTATCACATAACACTTTAAATGATTCTATTTGAATATGAGTTTTGGGGGACACAAATTAACCCATAACACTGGAGAATCTCATAGTGTGTCCATGTCCAGTGATAACTACAAATCGGTAAGAACAGCAATCACAGTGGACAGTGGTATAGTAACTAGAGGCTCAGACAATTTAGGAAGGAAGTTATCAAGGCAGTTATCAGGCAGTTATCCAGACCAAGAAGAGTGCTGGCCAGCGGTGAAGGGAGAATAGAACTGGTGGTAATAAACGGAGACTGTGAATCTCAGGTGCACTGTACTATAGCAGCAGTAAGTGTAGCTTATTTCATTGGCCTTCATTTTACATCTCACTTCCTCTCCTTTCTTTTCATTTCCTTCTTCTCTCTCCTTCCTCTTCCTTCCTTTCTTCCTTCCTTTCTTCTTCTTTCTTTCTTTCTCTTTCTTTCTTTCTTCTTTCTTTCTTTCTCTCTTTCTTTCTTTCTCTCTCTCTCTCTCTCTCTCTCCCTTCCTTCCTTCTTTTTCTCTTTCTCTCTCTCTCTTTCTTTCTTTTGTCCTCCACTCATCTTCTGTCCCTTCTCTTACTCCTCTTTCTCACCTCCTCTTCTTCCTTCTTCTAGAGCTTGTGCCTGTCCATCACATTTAAGTAGCAAAGGTTTTACTTGAGTGGAGCTAATTGTAGATCATAGGTAAGTTTTCATGACTGCACCCATATATATTAGATCTTAGTGTGCTTGGACTAATTTCCATCTGTTAGAATCTGCATCTCTGTGCCTAAGAGCTCTTGTATTGCTGCTGTAAGAAGTCATGTCACCTGTGAATGCAACACAGAGAAAAACTCTCAACCAATGATTCTGGAGAGCTGATTTATAAAGACTCTAGCTTCCTCATTCCTGAAGTAGGATAACTCTAGCTGTGTGTTTTTTTGTCATTTCTGATAGTTTTCCCTTTAGTTTAAGCTTTAGTTGGTGACTGTGATACTGACTTGATAGTGTACCCTTTTCTGTATCACTTCCCCAATCCCTACCAGTGTGATCTGCACTTCCGAATAAACTAGTTTCACTGGAATGCTTTCCTCAGAGTCTCTTCTGGGAGAAACTAATCTATGACAATACACTAACTCTCTCAGCCTCAATTTTTTCATCTCTACAAAGGGAACATTAATACCTGTTTTGAAAGTTTGTTAAAGAATTAATAATAGCCGGGTGCAGTGGCTCACGCCTGTAATCCAAGCATTTTGGGAGGCCGAGGCGGGCGGATCACAAGGTCAGGAGATCGAGACCATCCTGGCTAAAATGTTGAAACCCCGTCTCTACTAAAAATACATAAAATTAGCCGGGCGTGGTGGCGGGTGCTTATAGTCCCAGCTACTCGAGAGGCTGAGGCAGGAGAATGGCATGAACCAGGGAGGCAGAGCTTGCAGTGAGTCAAGATTGTACCACTGCACCCCAGCCTGGGTGACAGAGCAAGACTCCATCTCAAAAAAAAAAAAAAAGAATTAATAATAGTGTACACAAAGCATTTAGCCAATATGTCTCCTATAGCAGGCAGCCCAGAATTAGTGTTTTTGTTCAGAAAATTTCTAATTTTAATGTTGAAGATAAGAATATTTTTGTAATAATTAACCAGATCAACCAAATACTTTTTCGAGCTGTATTGAGGTGTAATTGACAAATAAAAATTGTGTCTATTTCAGGTATGGAAGATGATGCTCTAATATATATATCCATTGTGAATAACATGTTTATTAGCCCACGTAGTTACCATTTCCTTTTTATTTTTGTGGTGTGAACATATAAGATCTAACTTCTTGGCAAATTTCAGGTGTATGATACAGTGTTTACAACTATAGTGACACTACTGTACAGTAGACATGCTGAACTTATTCACCTTTCATAACTGATGCTAGTCAAAAGGAATGTCCTAGTTTTCATGTCCTTTACTTCATCCCTGAACGATGATCACAGTAAGTGGCCTTCATCCCTCAGCCAAGTCTTCAGAGCATTCTAGATTCACAGTCTCAGAAGTTGGCATCTGTCATGGAAATCTACATTGTTAGCTCATCAGAGGTATTTCTACCACTCCCATGCTGGTAGGAGGTCGCAAGAAGGTGACCCAGGTCCCCAAACTTTGTATTTCTCTCAGAGCCAGTATCAATCTATCTTTCCCTGAGTGAATGCTTAGCTTGCACCAGTTCAGAACCAAAAGCACCAACCTCTGTCTATCATGACTTCTATGAATGCACACGTTCTACTTTGCTCCTTTCTTACATTCTTCTGATTTCCCTGCAAACACCGTTTTCAGTTTCTTTAGATGCCTCATATTGGTCTTACAAAATTCAGAAGGTTCTTTCATTCCCTTCCTTGGTTTAGAGATTATGGATTGTGCCACGTCTTACATACCCATTGCGTACTTTCTCAATTCCCAGCTTAATTCCTTACTTAATTTTCCTCATAACATTTCGATTAGGGGACAAATTGTCTTAATGTGGCATAAGGTGTGGTCTGTATTTTACAAGGAATAACTTAGTTTCATTGACTTTGTCAACAGGTATTCAGGAGGGGGAGGCTGTGTAAGAATTTTATTTACATCATACTGAGAATAAGTCACTTCAGATGAGACTCTCTCTTATGATGATATAATGAATTCTCAAGCATCTTTTTGATGCGGATGAATTGAATGATTGGCTGGTCAGAGGCTGAGACAAAAAGATCCCTGCATTCAGGGCAGCCATTAAATGCAATCCCTGCTGCCATGTCATGCAGCTGTTGCTCACTGAGGTGTGGGAAAAAATAATTTGGGATTTTTTTGTGAATAAAAATATTATTTGCAAATATGAGAGATTATTTCTCTCATTGTTAAATAAACTCAAGTGCATGTCTTGCTAGTGCTGACTTCCAATGTCATTTCTACTATGTTGAGAGTTAAATGTAAGTGTCCTTGGGCAGAAAGAGAGGACCTCAGCTTGGATCAGAATCTGTCCTTTATTAGCTACATAACATCACATATTAATTTTTTTTTCAGGTGAAAAATGAAGGTAATAATGCATGACCACCTGTTTTGAGAATCAAATTGGATAATAACTATGGTATGTGATATGTGTGTAAATCCCATATCAGGAGTGCTTTCAAATAAAACAAAACACTATATGAGATGAGGATGGTTCAGAATTTATTCAGAAACATATAGGTAAGGATTTCTGCTACCAGGGACACAACACAAATTTATCATGAAAAGAAGAAAGAAGGATACAAGAACGATGAGGAGGATATTGAAAACAAAAAAAAGATTGCAAAGATCATCGATCAGTTGCAGAAACCTAAATTCCTTAGAAGCAGGGAATGAAGCTCTTGACTTTAGAGTCAAAGCTGAGACCATGACTCAAACTTGAGAACAGATGAAGCTGGCACATGATCCACAAGGTGTAAGGAAAAAGAGAATCAGGATGAAGTATTCTGCCCTCCCTCAAGCAGATTTCCAAGATTTTAAACATGTAGAGAATTCATAAAAATTTGGGTGAGAGCATGGTGGCTGTCAGCAGCAAATTAAATTAGTCCCCCAAAAGATGAGTCAGTTGAGCAGAAATTTGTTGTGTGAGGATGGTGGTTCTCTTGGAACGTGATCAGCAGCAAGAAGGCTGGCAGCAGCTGGACACACAGGTGGGCTGGAAGCAAGTGGTCCTGCAGCAGGTGGTCTCACAGCAGGCTGGGCGGCAGCACGGCTGGCAGCAGTTGGAGCCACAGCTCTGGTTTAGGCAACCAGGCAGGCAGACAGTCGTGGGGTAGTAGCAGGTTCTTCTGCAGTACACAGGTGCACAGGAGCTGCTCTGGCCACAGCTGGACCCACAGCTGGTTTGGCCACAGCAGCTGGACCCACAGCAGGTGGGCTGGCAGCAGGGTGTGCTGCAGCAGGAAGGCTGGCAGCAGCTGGTCACACAGGTGGGCTGGCAGCAGGTGGTCCTACAGCAGGTGTTTTGACAGGAAGTTGGGCGGCAGCAAGGCTGGCAGCAGCTGGACACACAGCAGGCGGGCTGGCAGCAGGATGTGCTGCTGCAGGTGGTCACAGTGGTGGGCTTCCAGCAGGTGGTCCTGCAGCAGGTGGTCCTGCAGCATGTAGGCTGACAGCAAGGGGAGCAACAGTGGGTCATGGTGTCAGGGGTGGAGGGTGGGCTTCTGTTCAGAGGTGAGTTTCCCAGAATCTGATGACCCCTTGCAATCTGGACCTTTTATACATCTGGCCTCCAAAGTTTCCACCAATCAGCAGGACTTTTCCTTGTTGTTGTTTACACTGTTTTCCATACTCCCTTTGCGATTGTCAAAGGGGAAGTTGTTTCTGAAATCTTATGAATCTTTTGAAAGT
>NW_003315953.2:0-133151 GCF_000001405.40 Homo sapiens
GATCATCCACAGCTTAACACCCATAGGAAATGGTCCCCTGAGAGACACAGAGGAATGGATTGAGGGGACATTGAGGGGAAATCCATAGGCTGAAGGAGGCACAAAACAGCAGAGATGGCTCCTGGCCTAACACCCCAAGGACTTCTATAGGGTACCCTTATATTTTTTATCCTTATACTTCTGTCTATGTAAGTATGTCTATAGGATTAAATTCCTATAGGCGGAAATTATTGGTCGATAGTGTATATGTGGGCATGGTGGCTCACACCTGTTATCCCAGCACTTTGGGAGGCCGAGGCGGGTGGATCATGAGGTCAGGAGATCGAGACCATCCAGGCCAACATGGTGAAACCTCGTCTCTACAAAAAACACAAAAATTAGCTGGGCATGGTGGCATGTGCTTGTAGTCCTAGCTACTCAGGAGGCTGAGGCAGGAGAATTGCTTGAACCCGGGAGGTGGAGGTTGCAGTGAGCTGAGATCATGCCACTGCATCCTAGCCTGGCAATATAGTGAGATTCCGTCTCAAAAAAAAAAAAAAAAAAGCATTTGTAATTTTAACAGATACTGCTGAACTATTTTGTAAAGAGGTTGCACAACTTATTCTTCCCCTCAACAGTGTATGAAAGTGCATGTTTTCTTTATTTTGCTACAATCATGACATTAATCTATTTTGTTTTATTTTACTTTATCATAGAAAGAACACCTAACATGAGAGCTACCCTCTTAATAAAATTTTAGGTGTACAATAAATTACTATGGACTCTGGGTACAATGCAGTACAGTAGATCTCTAGGCCTTACACATCTTGCTTGACTGGAACTTTATGTTCATTGAACAGTAACTTTCCATTTCCCCTTTTCCCACAGCCTCTGGAAACCACCATTCCACTCTTTGATTCTATGAATTTGCCTATTTTAAATACCTTGTATAAGCAGAATTATGCAGTATTTGTCTTTCTGTGATCGGCTTATTTCATTTAGCATAATGTCTTCAGGGTTGAATCTATTTTAGATACCTCATATAAGCAGAATCATGCAGTATTTGTCTTTCTGTGATTGGCTTATTTTATTTAGCATAACGTCTTCGAGGTTTATTCACGTTGCGTATTGCAGAATTTCGTCCTTTTTAAAGGCTGAATGGAATTCCAGTGTTTGCACATACCAATTTCTTTTTGTATTTATCTGTCAACGGACATTTAGGTAGTTTCCACATTCTGGCTATTGTGACTCCTGCTGCAATGACCACAGGAGTGTTAACATCTCTTTGAGATCCCAATTTCAATTCTTTTGGATAAATACCCTGAAGTGAGATTGTTGGCTCATATGGTAATTCTATTTTTAATTCTTTGAGGAATCTCCATACTGTTTTCCATAGTGGCTGCGTCATTTTGCATTTTCCCAACAGCGTGCAATGGTTCCAGCTCCTCTATATCCTCACCAATACTAGTTGTCTTTTTTTTTTTTTGATAGTAGCCATCCTGAGTGGTGTGAAGTGATGTCTCATGGCTTTGATCTGCATTTCCCTTATGGCTAGTGACTTTGAGCATTTTTTCATATACCTGATGGCCGTTTGTACGTCTACTTTAGAGAAATGTCTATAGAAATCCTTAGCCCATTTTTAAATTAAAAAAAATTATTTTTTACAGTTGAGTTGTAGGACTTCCTTATATATTTTGGAGGCTAACCCTTTATCAGATATATGATTTACAATTCTTTCTCCCATTCAGTAGGTTGTATTTTCACTCTGTTGTTTCTTTTGCTGTGCAAAAGCTTTTTAGTAAGACTAAACTTCTGATCTTTGCTAACTTAAATAAGTAAAAAATAAGTAATTTAATAAGCATTTTTGAATTATGAATGGTGTAAGCATGTAAACACACCAGTAACAGTAAAATCCATTAAAAAACACAACACTTATTTAGTGCTTACCATGTACTCTGTGCTAGACACTATTTTACGTGATTTACAGGTATGGATTTTTTTAAAACTTAAATCCATTAGCTAGGTGCTATTGTCACTCCATTGTGCATAAGCAGAATTTGAGGCACAGAGAGGTCAAGTCACCAGCCCAAGTTCACACAGCTAATAAATGATAGAACCAGAATCTGAACCCAGGCAGGCTGGATCCAAAATTCATTGTCTTAAACCTCTACTATGCTGCATTAAAGGATTTTGTAATAGGTCTTGGTATGAGGTAAATAAGGGGAAATTTCCTGCCTTAGCATGTAGATAAAGAAACTCTAGGATCAGGGAACAAAGGGGAGGGGAAATGAAGATAACTTTTTCAGTATTTAGTCTCTGATGACCTTAAGACCTGGGATAAGAATAAAGCAAACTAGGCAGGGCGCTGTGGCTCACTCCTGTAATCCCAGCACTTTGGGAGGCCGAGGTGGGTGGATCACCTGAGGTCAGGAGTCGGAGACCAGCCTGGCTAACATGGTGAAACTCCATCTCTGCTAAAAATACAAAAAATTAGCCGGACGTGGTGGCGTACGCCTGTAATCCCAGCTATTCAGGAGGCGGAGGCAGGAGAATCTCTTGAATCCAGGAGACGGAGGTTGCAGTGAGCCAAGATCAGACCACTGCTCTCCAGCTTGGGCAACAAGAGCAAAACTCCATCTAAAAAGAAAAGAAAAACAAAAAAAGAATAAAGCAGAATAATAATTTAAAAATACTTAAAATCAAACCAAAGTTTCCCAAGTAACTAGATTTTAAAATCCTATTTAATAGAAAAGAAAACGGTGACTTTTTTTTTTTTTTCAAAGCCTTCTGAGGTGGACTTTTGAAATGATAAAGGTGTTTTGGGTTATCCTTCCTCAGACTCTGTTTTCACCCAGCATGTCTGAGAGCCTTGCAGGCACAGTGGTATCAGGACACACTGCTGGTCGTGGTTTGCAGATGTTTTCCTGGCGTAATTCACATCAGGATGCAGTGTGTGGGCAGCTCCTGTTTCCTTAGGTGTCTTCAGAATTTTTCCTCTGCAGCTGGAGCAGGTGGTTGCAGATTAGACTCACACCCTGTGGACCGCCCAGTGCCTCTGCTTCTGTCTCACTCAGAGATGCGTCAGAACGGTCAGACTCAGAGATGCGTCTGCACCGTGGCACCAAGTGATGCTGTTCTGAACCCAGTGTTTCCCCTCTGCCTGAAGAGAGATTACAGCTCAAAATCTTTTAATCCTCAAGAGAGAAGAGGTGGCCCCTGTGAAGGAAGGAGGGCTGCAGGACTACCTCTGTCTTCTCTCTTCATCTCTGATACCTCCCTTCATGCAACTTGGAATATATGTTTATTTTCAGGGGCCAGAAACTCTTTTTAAAGAGGAGCAAGAGGGCCGGGCACGGTGGCTCATGCCTGTAATCCCAGCACTTTGGGAGGCTGAGGTGGGTGGATCACGAGGTCAGGAGTTCAAGACCAGTCTGGCCAACATGGTGAAACCCCATCTCTACTAAAAATACAAAAATTAGCTGGGTGTGGTGGCGGGTGCCTGTAATCCCAGCTACTAAGGAGGCTGAGGCAGGAGAATCGTTTGAACCCGGGAGGTGGAGGTCGTAGTGAGCCGAGATCATGCCATTGCATTGCATTGCACTGCAGCCTGGGTAATAGGGCGAGACTCTGTCTCAAAAAAAAAAAAAAAAGGGAGGAAGAGGAGGCTCATCTGATCATCTGCAATGTCAAGGATGGGCTCCTTCCCACCTACACAGCTGAGTACATCCCAGACACCTGCCTCATGCCTTCCACCTACTGCCTGTTCCTTTGAGACCAAAGAAAATCAGAAGAGCCCTCTGCTGTACGAAGGACTAGGCAGTGTCTATGTCATTATGCAAAATGGACCATGCAGAGCCCAAGCCAGAGACACATATCAAGCTTTGGAGAGGTGTGTCAGGACGCAAAGGATGCAAAGCTTCAGCTGTGATGCTTAAGAATTAACAAGTGTCATATGTTCTGAGACAGAAGGAACCATGATTTTAGCCAATGGGATAAAATCCTGCCAGAGGATAGGGTCAAGAGAGGGTTCCTATTTAGCAAATCAAAGGGAAGAATTTTAATGCTTCAATTCTCTGGATTATAGTGATGCTATGTGTTGAGGCGGAAGATAGGAACAAAGGGGTCTTTGAAGATGGAAAATGCAGATTGCACCCAGAGGCCTCTGAGGGATGGCCTGGCAGGGAGAGGCCCTCTAAGGATTGCCCCAGTAAAGAATGAGTCATAGCTGACCTCAGGGCCGCTGGAGCCACAGCTGACCCACAGTGGGTTTTCCTCTTGGGAAGAATTCCAGACCCCTTATTTCTCCTTGAGAGAATTCCAAGAGCCCAGGTTTCATCAACACCATCATCCCCTGACTCCCTTGTGGTTTTCACGGGGATGCATGTTCAACTTTTTCTCAGAGCAAAGATGTATTTATGCTGTTTAAAAATATATGCACACAGTTTTATGTATAATGTGGCATCATAACTTGTAGGGCATTTACTCTTATTTTATACATTCAGATATGTTTGGTTTTTTTTTTGAAACACTTCTTAAGGCTACACAACAGGACAGAGAAAAATAAACAGGAACATATTCAACAATTATAAAACATGATATGATAAAGAATATAAAGTACTAGTTTCCTTTCAATACTTCAAAAGATACATATATAAACTTTAAAAAAATGCTCAACATCACTAATGATCAGGGAAATGCAAATCGAAATCACAATGCGATACGACCTTGCTCCTGCAAGAATGGCCATAATCAAAAAAATAAAAAAACAATAGATGTTGGAGTGGATGTGGTGATCAGGGGACACTTCTACATGGCTGGTGGGAACGTAAACTAGTACAGCCACTATGGAAAACAGTGTGGAGATTCCTTAAAGAACTAAAAGTAGAACTATCATTTGATCCAACAATCCCACTACTGGGTATCTACTCAGAGGAAAAGAAGTCATTATGCTAAAAAGATACTTGCACACACACATTTGTAGCAGCACAATTCACAATTGCAAAATCACAGAACCAACCCAAATGCCCATCCATCAGTGAGTGGATAAAGACACTGTGGGCTGGGCACAGTGGCTCACACCTGTAATCCCAGCACTTTGGGAGGCCAAGGCGGGTGGATCACCTGAGGTCAGGAGTTCAAGACCAGCCTGGCCAACATGGCGAAACACCTTCTTTACTAAAAATACAAAAATTAGCTGGGCATGGTGGTGGCACCTGTAATCCCAGCTACTCGGGAAGCTGAGGCAGGAGAATCTCTTGAACCTGGGAGGTGGAGGTTGCAGTGAGCCGAGATGGTGCCACTGCACTCCAGCCTGGGTTACAAGAGTGAAGCTCTATCTCAAAAAAAAAAAAAAAGAAACTGTGGTACATATATATGATGAAATACTACTCAGCCATAAAAAGGATGAATTAATGGCACTTGTAGTGACCTGGATGAGATTGGAGACTATTATTCTAAGTGAAGTAACTCAGGAATGGAAAACCAAACATCATATATTGTCACTGATATGTGGGAGCTAAGCTATGAGGATGCAAAGGCATAAGAATGATACAATGGACTTTGAGGACTTCGGGGGAAGGGAGCGGGTGAGGGATAAAAGACTACAAATAGGATGCAGTGTATACTGCTTGGCTGATGGGTGCACCAAAATCTCACAAATCACCACCAAAGAACTTACTCACGTAACCCACCTGTGCCCCAATACTTATGGAAAAAAACCCCACCACTTATGGAAAAAATACCACCTGTACCCCAATAACTTACGGAAAAAAACCTAAACTTTTTTTTTATAAGTAACATCACAGATGCTCACATCTTCACATGCTTTTAAGTATTATTTGTACTCAGTGTAAGGCTATTATCATTTTTCATACATAAAGTTTTTTTTAGCTGTGTAACAATGCAATTTGTAATCCATTCAAGTAAATTCAGCCCCAAAGTTGTTGCTTCCCAGCATTAAGTCCTGCGCCCACCCCTCTTCTAAGATTTTCTAAAACTTGTATTTCAGAGGAAAAAAGTGTAGCTGAAGGGAATGCATATTTGATGCATATTTGGCTACACGATTTCTGTTTACTGTATTTTGCTTCCTATTTTATGTCTAAATCCTATTATTTTCATTTAAAATCTTAATAATGGCTCATTTCCAGTATGTCAATTTCAAAGACTTAAGGTTTTGCTACTAGTATCAGCCATTTACTTTCCCACTAATTGGGATTTTTTTTTTTTTAAAGAGTTTATTTATACTCTTTTAGAGCTTGTCCCATGGTCCTTCTGGTTTCCCTCTACCACTTGGGAGGGATGACTCCTGGCCACACCCCCATTGGTTGACTTGTTTTCCAGCTCTACTGGAAATCTCTGGGATTTGGGATATACAGTCAGAATGTTTCTGTCAACGACAGACCACATATACGGGCGGTGGTCCCACAAGATTATAATGATGCTGAAAATTCCTATTCTCTAGTGATGTGGAAGTGGTTATAATGTCGTAGTGCAATGCATTACCTTTTCTATGTTTAGATACACAAATATTATCGTGTTAATAATAGTTGCCTATGATACTCAGTACAGCAACATGCTGTACAGGTTTGTAGCCAGGTGCTATAGGCTGTGCTATACAGTCTAGGTGTGTAGTAGGCTCTACCATCTAGGTTTGTGTGAGTTCCCCCTATAATGTTTCCACAGTGAAGAAATCTCTTAACGACGCATTTCTCAGGACGCACCCTGTCTTAAATGATGCATATGTTACAAACTAGCGTAACTTTTTTTTTCTTTTTTGAGACAAAGTGTCAATCTTGTTGCTCAGGCTGGAGTGCAATGGCGCAATCTTGGCTCACGGAAACCTCCGCCTCCCGGGTTCAAGCAATTCTCCTCCTCAGCCTCCTGAGTAGCTGGGATTACAGGCATGTACCACCATGCCCGGCTAATTTTATATTTTTAGTAGAGACCGGTTTTCTCCATGTTGTTCATGCTGGTCTCGAACTCCTGACCTCAGGTGATCCGCCTGCCTTGGCCTCCCAAAGTACAGGGATTACAGGCGTGAGCCACCGCGCCCGGCCTAGTTTAACTTTTTAAAGTGCATTTTCTTGTTGTCACTGCCATAGTATTTAAATCTTTTCCTTTGCTGGAACACAAAGACCTTCAGTAATTTTCTTTTCACCACAATTTCTCATCCAGTAACTAAGCCCCTTCTTGCCCTCTCCTTAGGCCCAGCACTGACGGGGCAATGACACCGTTGTTCTCACCGGGGGCCATGATGAAGTGAAAAGAGAATGGGCCTAGCAGACATGAGACTGAATCGAGCCTTTGCCAGTTCACTAACTGTCAATCAGAAAATGTGCAAATGTACTTCACTCTAGTTTTCTCATCTGTACATTGAGGCAATGAGTAACCACCTCATAGGTGGTAAGGGTTAGATAGGAAAGAACACAGTAGAATGCCTAGCACACCTAAGTACTCAATCAATGTTAGTTCTGGACCTTTCATTTGAATACTGCTTGAGCTCTGTGCCCAATCTCCCTTTCCTGGATCAAATAAGATTTTTCTTTGTTAGTGATTTCTTTCTAGATACTTCCTTGGCCAGAACTATAGATCCTCTGTCTTTCACTAACTCTTGTTGATCTATGGTTCTCATTCAAGTTTGTGTAGAACATCCAGAGATTTCAGAGGCATTGTTTACTCCTGATGAACAGGGAACATTGCGTGTCCAGGAACCAGCACACTGCCTGAGTTATGGGGGATATTCAGGAAGCATGCTGAACCAATGAATGAATGAACAAATGAATGAATAGCTGATTCTGACTAGTCAACCAAAACTTAATTAGCGCCATTGCTTCCAGATGTTATTGCTTCTCAAGGGAGTATGCAATGTGAAAGAAGAAAGAAAAAAAGGCGCCTCTCAATCGTCAAATATCAGTAGATGCATTGGTTTTATTAACTGATATTTTCTCTTCAAAGGAAAGGCTGATTCAGTCTTGCACAGGCGAAAGATCCAGTGGGTCCCATTGGTTCTCTGTGTCTCCTGCTACACAAATTACTGACGGAAAGATTTGAGCCTTCATTGTGACCACATCCACAGAGACCATAGTCCAGAGAGAGCAATTGGGGCCTGAATCAACTGCTGGTGTTTGTTGAGCAGAAACAGTGAGTCTCTGACTTCCCACCAACAGCTAACCTGATATGGAAGAGCCAAGAGGCATCTCAGATTTGTCAACATTGCTTTAATGAGCTGAGGAACTTCTCATGGTAAACTCAGCAGCTGAGTAACAGGATGATGGCACCACAACAGGTAGATAATCAAGGCAGGAGGTCAAAGCACTGGAGCCAACACCCGCCCAGGATGGGGTATAAAAGGGTTGGGAGGAGAGGAGGCTTCAGTCTCAGTGGCTCAGCCTTCCCAGCTGATCTGAAGCTCCTGTGCAGCCTCAGCCCTACACCATGACCTCCTTCTACAGCACCTCCTCATGCCCTCTGGGTTGCACCATGGCTCCTGGAGCAAGAAATGTCTTTGTCTCTCCTATCGATGTTGGGTGCCAGCCTGTGGCAGAGGCCAATGCTGCCTCCATGTGCCTCTTGGCCAACGTGGCACACGCCAACAGAGTCCGTGTGGGGTCGACTCCCCTGGGCCGCCCCAGCCTCTGTCTGCCCCCAACCAGTCACACTGCTTGTCCCTTGCCAGGGACCTGTCACATTCCCGGCAACATCGGAATCTGTGGGGCCTACGGCAAAAACACCCTGAATGGCCATGAGAAGGAGACCATGAAGTTCCTGAATGACCGCCTGGCCAACTACCTGGAGAAGGTGCGCCAGCTGGAGCAGGAGAATGCAGAGCTGGAGACCACACTCCTCGAGAGGAGCAAGTGCCACGAGTCCACCGTGTGCCCCGACTACCAGTCCTACTTCCGTACAATCGAGGAGCTCCAGCAGAAGGTGAGGTGTGGGATCGCCTGGGCATGCTGGGTCTGAGAAGGCAGAAGCCTTCGCAGGAGGAATCTGCATAAGGTCCAGAGAGCTTTGGGTTCTTGGTTTCTCTTGGACATGAGCGTAAATACCACACATGGAGTGGGAGCTTAGAGTATGGTGCTTTGTGTGTGAACCGTCTTTCCGTTTTCCTCAGATCCTGTGCAGCAAGGCTGAGAATGCCAGGCTGATTGTACAAATTGACAACGCGAAGCTGGCTGCTGATGACTTTAGGATCAAGTAAGTCAGGATGAGGAGGGTCAGTGTGACTTCTCTCCTGCTGTATTTCCAAGGGCCCGCCCCATTACTCAGTCTATATTGTAGGTGTTCAAAAACAGTTTTTGACTAGAAGAATATTTCTCTCCACACCTTAAATTAGCCTGTTGCTAGAAATGGTCATTATATAGGAGGAAAGAGAATATAAGCATTGAAAGAAAAAGAAGGGCTGTAGTCTAGATTGGTTAGAACCTATGTCACTTTCTCCCATATCTAGAAGATAAGAGGATTTTGCTTTTCAATCAGAAGTAAAATTGAGTCATCACAAAAATAAACTGTCAATGCATAGGTTGTTGCTAGACTCTCTGACTCTTGGCCAAATCCATCAGCTGGAGGAATTGTCATTGAAGCTCCTTGGTAGCTAGAGTTGTGCTTGAATGAAGGGGAAAAGCAAGAAAACAACGAGAAATAATGAATCCAAGAGGAAAAGCAGCAAACTGAAGGTCCAGAGGCTTATTTTTAGCCATTCTTTTTCCTGGCCAAATGACTCCTATTATGGCAGAATAAATGCTGCATTTGAAGTCAGAACACTTAGGATGAGTCCATGCATTTACTATTAACTGGGCATGGAATTCTGAACAACTCGTGTTTTGTTTCTGAGCCTCAGTCTTCCATCTGGTCAATGGGCATAATGTCCTGACTACAAACCGTGTCGCTGCAGGGTTGAGAATAGTGTATACTGCCCACGTGAACAAATAAGGATCCAAGGTGGTGTGGGAGGTAGGAAGCCAGGGCAGCTGAGAGGGGCTATTGGGGCATTCTTTTTGACCCTGTGCCTCCTGTGACGGAAGGCTGGAGAGTGAGCGCTCCCTTCACCAGCTGGTGGAGGCGGACAAGTGCGGGACGCAGAAGCTCCTGGATGACGCGACCCTGGCCAAGGCCGACCTGGAGGCCCAGCAGGAGTCCCTGAAGGAGGAGCAGCTCTCCCTCAAGAGCAACCACGAGCAGGTGTGGCCCTGGCTGCTCAGACTCCTGGGGAGGGCGCTGGGCAGACAGGGGAGCTCCCCGGCCCTGGGGCTCTCAGAGCATTGCCTGGGCTCAGCTGGCCTAAGGATGCAGGGCTGAGGTGGGTCTGAGGGTCCAGAGGGCCTCTGTGGAAAGTGCAGACTTGCCTTGGGCATGAGGAAGGTGTCCAGGTGGGCTCTCCCAAATGCACTCTGGACAAGACTTTCCCATTTGCTTATGTGTGGGACTCCCCTCCTACTGCTTGCCAGGGACGGAGTCCTGGTGCTGTCTGCTCCATCAAAGGCCGTTTCCTTACGCAGGCTGTCTATCGCTTCCATTTCTGCAGGAAGTAAAGATTCTGAGGAGTCAGCTGGGGGAGAAGTTCCGGATCGAGCTGGACATTGAGCCCACCATTGACCTGAACAGGGTGTTGGGGGAGATGCGGGCTCAGTACGAGGCCATGGTGGAGACCAACCACCAGGATGTGGAACAGTGGTTCCAAGCCCAGGTGAGTGGGGGTTACAGAGCCAGGGAGTACCTGGCCTCCATCTGAGCAGGGAGGTGACTGTGTTTCTCTGTGCTCCAGTCTGAAGGCATCAGCCTGCAGGCCATGTCCTGCTCCGAGGAGCTGCAGTGCTGCCAGTCGGAGATCCTGGAGCTGAGATGCACGGTGAATGCCCTGGAGGTGGAGCGCCAAGCCCAGCACACCTTGGTACGTGTCCTTCACCCTCACTGCACTGCAAATGCCCCATGCCATGTCCTGGTAGTAGCATCTCTTAAAGTCTCACAAATCAGTTCCTTCAACATTAAGTCAAGATCTGGGGTCCTCTATACCCGATGGAGACGTCTTGCTGTCAAGTTCAGTGTGACCCAGGGAAATGGTTTCTTCAGAAAATCAAGTCCACTTCCTTTACAACACAGTGCGGAAGTTCAGGCACTCACTCCACAAGATTTTACGAGGTGCCTGCTTTTTGTCAAGCACTGGGGATACAGGGATGAACATGACAGTTCCTTAAGTTAGATTTGTGTGCATGAGAGAGAAGTCATGGTCATGTTGACAGTGATTTCTCCAGAGCTCTGAGAATGTCCTATGACATTTTGGAATTTGCCCTATGTGTGATGAGTTTGGTCATGATTTTCACTGCTGAGTTTTGGGGCACCTGGATCTCTTACCCCATTATTTCCCATTACAGAAGGACTGTCTGCAGAACTCCCTGTGTGAAGCGGAGGACCGCTACGGCACAGAGCTGGCCCAGATGCAGAGCCTCATTAGCAACTTGGAAGAGCAGTTGTCTGAGATCCGGGCCGACCTGGAGCGGCAGAACCAGGAGTACCAGGTGCTGCTGGACGTGAAGGCCCGGTTGGAGAACGAGATTGCCACATACCGGAACCTTCTGGAGAGCGAGGACTGCAAGTACGTGTGATCTGGGCAATTCCTAAGCCACACACATGACTGTCAGGCAATTCCTCAGAGGTAATGGAAGTGCTTGCAGAAGATATCATCTTAACAAACAAGCCTTCCTGTGCTCTCTTGCTCAGTGACTCATTAACCTCTCCTGGTCTGTGCAGACTGGATTATTGAGAAAATGTTCTCTAAATGATAGCCAGGTCCCTAAGCCAAATCTTCCCCAAGGATTCCTGGATGTAGAAAGACACAGATGAGAGAACTGTTGGTATAGATTCTCTGGTCTGTGTGCCTTGTTGGTGGCAGGCCCAGCCTTCACCCTGATCTTACCCTTGTCCATCAATCACTGAGACATCTTTTTAATGTAACTCTTCTTTCTCTCCCTGCAGACTCCCCTGCAATCCCTGTTCCACGCCTGCCTCCTGTACTTCTTGTCCAAGCTGTGGCCCTGTCACCGGTGGGTCTCCCTCTGGCCATGGAGCCAGCATGGGGAGATGATTCTGAAGGCCCGAGTTAGGAGATTGAGGCTGGTTGCACTGGGGTCAGGAGTGCCCTCACCTTGCCCAGTCTTCCTTCAAGACTAGACTCACTGAGGCATTTTCCCTAAATCAACCGGTAGCAGATACTTCCAAGGAGTGGCTCCCTGCCTATGCCTCTAAGCTGTATTTTTTGTTGTTGCTAAAATGTTGTAATTATCTTCCATGAAAGCAATTATTTTTCCTGGTGTCTCTTCTTGGTACTTTTAGTTCTATTCCAGTGTTTCAGAATCTCCAAAAATGTAACTGGGTTCCCTGCATTAAATGGTCAATAAACCTCCTTCCTGCACCAAGTGCTGTCTCCCCGGTGTTGGTTGTATGTGAGATGTCGGAGAGTCCTGGTCGTCAGGTCCTGTGTCCTCACTGGCTCTGACATCTTGCTTCCAGGAGCTCCCTGGGGTGCTCTGGGGCCTCTGGATGAAGGTCCCTTCCTGATGTTGGATGTGTATTCACCTTTCCCAGGGATCCCTATAGACTGGTGGAAGGAAGTGATGCCAGTTGCCAAGTTTGAATTCTTTCAGAACAGCTCAGAGCTAACATGTCCCTACCATGCTTTTGGCATCTTCAGCCTCTTGTTATTTTGTCCAAGAGCAAAATCACATCACTTAGCATTCTAATATCGTCAAAGGAAGGTCGTGTTGAGAATTGTCTGAGCCAAGTTGCCAAGTTTTTCCTCTCACTCCAGTTGGCCCCTTTCATGGAGCCATGGAATTCTCGCCCACTCTCCCAAATGCAGAGGCCCAGATTGGGCACTGGAGACTGGGGTCTTGGTCCTGGGGCACTTCTAGGCTTTAGTTTTCTCTAGAGAGATGCTGCCACTGATGTTTCTGTTGTCTATTCTGCTGCTGTCTTGGAGGTGCTGGCGGTGAGGGCTGCCGCTGCCATCAGAGCACTCCAAGTCCCTGCCTGCCTCTCAGATGTGGCTTTGGCACTGGCCAAGGTGGTTCACAGCCAGATGCAGTTATAAGCAGGTGGAGGAGCAGCCCAGAGAGGCTGCTGCCTCCCACGCCATGCTAGTCAGTTTACGGCAAGCACCAAGTGTGTCCAGAAGAATGAAACTCTTGGGTCTCAGCTTGTCCATGTGCCCTGGTGCAAAGAGCAATGAAAAACTGGTCCTTCTTCATGGTGGCATAGTGTGGTGGAGGTGGATCTTCTCTAGGGTCAGGGAAACTTGGGTTCAAATCCCACCTTGGTGACTCTGAAGTGGGATTTGAACCCACCTTGCTGAGTGAAGTTGGCCAGGTCACTGCATTCTCTTGAGACCTATTCCTTGTTTGTGGAAGTAGGATAGTTGTATTTCCCTCTCACTGTGGTTGAGGGGTAATGCATCTAATGTTCCTGGCATCTAGAAGGTGTTCAGTGGATATTGGTTTATTGGGGCTCCCTAGGAACCAGCAGGTACAATCTCTTCCTCCCAGAGAGAAAAAGGAGCTGAAGAGATAGTAGCAGAACCCACTCTCAGCATCGGGGCCCTAGATTCTACGTTGGTGGCTGGAAAGTTTGGCCATATTCCTTGTTCATGTACATGCAATAATAAAAGCCATCTTCTGTTGTCATTAGGCCTGTTTCTCACTCCAAGTAGCCTAACTGAATCCAAAAAAGCATTCATTGGGCTGTCAGAGGACAAGACTGTTTGGTGGGCTCTTCTAATGAGGAACCCACAAGAGTCATGTTTTAAGAAGTGGCCATGACCCTCCCTGACCCTCAGTGTGATGGGGTTGTGGAGATCCGACCTGTCCCCACCTTTCTTGGCCAGGTCACACCCTTAACAAGCTCTACCTATGAGGTCCCATGGCTAGGTGTGACAGGAGGTGCCACTCAGGTACATAGAAAATGAAGGCTAGAGGCTGGCAGGTGGGTAACCAGTGCAGTCAGGACACCTGGACCCTGGGGTTTTACTCACATTCGTTATCCTAGCCTGAGAGCTTAGGGCTCCCTCTGGTACCAAATCCCAGACATCTTTTCTTGCAAGTGATTCTCCCGCCTGGACATTCTGTGCCTGTCCCTGGCCTCTCTGCCTCACATACTCTCACCGACTGGATGGATATAGCCCTGAATGTGGCACAATAGGCTTTGCTTTGGCCACAATAACTGCAACCAGGTGTCTCTTATTTTCCTTCTCCTGAGGCTTCTGCTCCCTTGGCTGGGGGCCACATCTGGTTCTGAGCCACCTAGTGCTTAGCCCGTCCCTCTTCAGTTCACCAATCCTGCACTGCCTGTGGGCTGATGTGTGATATTTCTTCCCAGCCTTCACGTGGTAACATCAGTTGCGGCTCATGAGGCCCATGCACTTATGTATTTTTTGACACCAAATGCCATTTCTCACAAATTCCAGCAAAGTGGAAAGGAGAAAGGGTAAACAGCTACAGGCTGCTGGGGTGGACACTGCAGTCACCGAGAGAGCTCTGGGGAAGGGCCCACTCCTGCTCCCACCACTGTCTACACTGGGAAGCCAAGAAGATTGAAGTGAATTTCTGGACTTTCCTGAACAGGAGCATTTTTTATTTGGATAGTTTTTTTGTAGACGATGATATGTGATACCTAAGGCTGATGGTGTGTGCCCCACCCTCCCCTCCTTCCCCCCAGCATCTTCTCTTTGTCTTCCTGACCAAGAACAAAATCAATTTCATCTGTTCTCATGGCCACTTATAATCTTCATGAGCTCAGCTTGAAGCTCATGAAGTTCTCAGCCTGTTTAAATTAAACCATTTTTAATGTATCTTTTTTCTACCTAATTCAGTGTTTCATAACCATGCCTTCCCACTTAATAAATGTAAAGATATCTTGCCTTCTCACTTAATGTTTTAACTTTCAAAAATGTAAATACCAAACTCGTATCATGACTAAAAGACAGCTCATTTCAAATACAGGTTATGCTTGTTTTCAAATGACACTTCCTCTAACTAAAATAACTTCCCTGCCATCTGTTTTAGATATTCCAAACATCACCTCCCCACTGGGGCTAGGGGGTGATACACAGACTCTCCCAGTTAGAATCACCGTTCCTATTCAAGTATGAGCCCCTGGGCTAAGCTTACCTGCTTTACCTGCCTGCCAGGTGTAATACGTTTTAGCTTCTGAGGAGGAGGGTTTCTCAGTGACCCAGGCTGCTCTGCCCTGGCCCCAGGCCTTTGTCTGTGACCCCCTAGTGGCCAGTCCCAGGTAGCTATATTTCACACTCATCCTCTCCAAACTTGAATGCAGCTTCTCCCGCTCTAGCCAGCTCTTTCCTTTGACTTCTCAGCTCCCTTGAAGCACACAATTGTCCTAGGAACTTGGGGGTGACCTTGGGGCCACTTTCGGTTTCTCTTCCTCCTTTGACCCCATATACAGTAATTCTCCCTGTCTTGTAGAGTCCTTCTGCAGCATCTATGTCCTTTGTGCCTTCCTTTACTTCAGCACTGCTGGTGGCTGGTTTTGGGTTCCATCACATCCTGCCTGGATTCTTGTAAGAGCCTCCTCCTGCTCTCTTCTGTGCCAGGTTTGTTCTGCACACACCACCAGCCCTTCACTCTTTTGTGTTCTATTTATTGAGTAAATATTATGTACAAGGCACTGTATTGCATGCTAGAGAGCATACGAAATGAAGATGGAGTGTTCCCACTCCAGGGTGCACACTGGGCAGTGGTAAAAGGAAAATGGGGCCGGGCGCAGTGGTTCACGCGTGTAATCCTAGCACTTTGGGAGGCCGAGGCAGGTGGATCATCTGAGGTCAGGAGTTTGAGACCAGCCTGACCAACATGGTGAAACCTCGTCTCTACTAAAAATACAAAATCAGCCAAGCATGGTGGCACATGCCTGTAATCCCAACTACGCCAGAGGCGGAGGCAGGAGAATCACTTGAACCCGGGAGGCGGAGGTTGTAGTGAGCTGAGATCACGCCACTGCACTCCAGCCTGGGCGACAGAGCGAGACTCCGTCTAAAACAATAACAACAACAAAAACAAAACAAATAAACAAACAAAAAAGAAAATGAAATGTCAGGGCTTTCTAAATTTATTATGCCGAAGTGAAAAATTAAGCCTTGGAAACTGGGTCATGCGATATAGCTGTTCTTCTTCTCTCCTGCAAAGACAGTTGCTTCCTGACTTGTGTGTTGACATGTTGCATAGTAACCAGACTCCCTTGTCTGTATTCAAACCTAGAGTAAATGACATTGGAGAAGGAGGCCCTTGTGACTGCTACCTTTTTACAATAGAATGTTAAGCAACCCCATGAGAGTGTAATCAATAGCGGTCAATCAGATCTTACATCTGTACACTAGCCTTTGTGTGGAAAACGTCGTAATTCTGTTCAGCACCTCTATTTTTGCCTATATAAGTGATCTTCATTTTCCCCCTGCACTGGGAGTACTGATTGCCATTCTTCGGTGTTCGTGTGTCCCCAGAAGACGGCTCTCACATGCCATGCTTGAAAAAACTCTTTTTAACCAGATCCTGAGCCTTTTGATTATTTTAGGTTGACAGGCACTGGATTAATTTTCTAAAATTTCTCCTTTGATTCTCTCTTTCATCTGCTCAAAAACCTCCAGAGGACTCTGTTCTGTTTCTAGCTCTTCAGGCAAGTTGTGTGGCCCAGAGCAGGAACTTCATAGCTATTTGTTGAATAAATCCAGTTGGACAGCTGGCGTCTAGGAGTGTTGGCCTTGTGTTCAGTCCAGAGTCCACTATCTGGCCCTTTCTGGGTCACTGGGCAGAGCAGAAAGAACTTGGGCTTCAGGGTCAGGCAGACCTGGGCTGACATTTCAAGGCCCATACTTTTCATTCCAACTTGGTGAGTTCAGACAACATCCCTAACTGCTCTGAGCTTTGTTTTCTTTACTCTACAGTGGGATACTTGTAACTGCTTTGTAGTGTGGTTATAAGGATGAAAAGACACAACTATATGGGAAGCATATGGTATAATACTTGGTGGCACATAGTAGGTGGTCAAATAATAACACAGTAGGCCGCACATAGTAGGTGTCTATCTAATTTGCGTGTATAGATTTGTGAATGTGTGAGAGAGAATTAAGTAAAATATTGTATACCAAGTGCCAAGCTCGGTTCCCTTCACATAATAGATGTCAATAGATATTACTTCATGTGACCTTTATCTGTCCTTTATGAACATTGTTTTTCGCGTGGACTGGCCTCTTCCCCACAGGCATAAGCAACACAGTGTGCATATTTTCCTTTTTGTCTCTCCTCTCTCCTTCATCCTAGATATCCTCCTAAAACAAACCTCAGCAAAGAAGAGCAAACTAGGAAAACAAACAGAACTTGCTTATTACATTGGAGAAAACTGCATGCTAACTGATTTGAAGTACAGTAATCCAAACACTGGCTCCTCTTGAATTCATCAAATCCTGTTTTGTGACCTGGTGCTTCATTCACCTAGGATGAAGTCACCACAAAACTTGTCTATTGCTATGGAGCAGTGATTCCGTCTTCCAAGGGTGGTCCCCAGACCAGCAGCATCAGTGTCATGTGGGAACTTGTTAGAAATGCAGACTCCCTGGCCTGACCCCAGACCGCTTGAATCAGAAACTGTGGTGTGGGGCCTGAAAACCTGCATTTTTTGCAAGCCCTCTGGGTGATTCTGATGCTGGTTAAAGTTTGACCACTGGTGGAGATGTTATGAAAATAGAAGCAGACAATATTTTTAGCATAGAGGAGTACAAACTTCACTCTTACAGGCTTCAGAAATGCAATTTGGCTCTTTGGGTTGACATTTTGTGTCATTCAAACTCATTTCTTTGGGGGTCCAGTACTTGGGACAGGCCTGTTGTTGGCTGTTGCATTTCTGAAGTTGTACCCAGTTCTCTTGAGCCCACTTCTGCTTCTGAGTGTTTTCTTGTGTTCATCCTCTTTTTTTTTTTGTCACCCAGGCTGGAGCACAGTGGCTCGATCTCGGCTCACTGCAACCTCCACCTCCCAGGTTCAAGCAATTCTCCTGCCTCAACCTCCCGAGTATCTGGGACTACAGGCGTGTGCCACCACACCCAGCAAATTTTTGTATTTTTAGTAGAGATGGGGTTTCACCATGTTGGCCAGGATGGTCTCGATCCTTGATCTCGTGATCCGCTTGCCTCGGCTTCCCAAAGTGCTAGGATTACAGGCGCGAGCCACTGCGCCTGGCCTGTTCATCCTCTTTTTCTGGAAAACTGTCTCCCATCTTTCCTGCCCATCCAAGTCTTCCCAATCTTAAGTTCCAGACAAAGTGTCTTTGATGGCCCCTCTATATCTCTAAGCTCCAGTCACTTCTCCCTCCACTGAGTTACGTGACCTCTTTTTCTGCTCTCAGCTTTTTGAGGGTGGAAATTTCTCCTTTTCATCTCTGCATCCCCCATCCCCTTGAGAAGGGCTTTGGTATAACAGGAGTTCAGGAATATCAGACATTCAGAGTAAGTCACCAGGATAAGGCAAATCATGCCTTGGAGAATATCACCCACATCTGTATAGAGTTACAGAGAAGGGTCCCCATGCGTCTCATTGACTGTATATGGGACCAACTGGTGGCTGGCTGGTTGTCATGGCTGAATAGCCAGTGGCTCCAGCATGGTTTACACAAAAGTCCTGGGCAAGAAGGTTTTCTGGCCATCTACTGGCAGCCTTTCAATCTAAACTAATCAGAAATCCCACTGTACAGCCCGCACTTAAGAGTGATAGTAACTGTTACATCATGGAGCATGTCCAGGGAAACATTCCTGGGATGGCAAGGGGACTTTGAACCATGCTGAATGCAGAACCAGGAGTAAGAAATCTCACATCTGCCACAAAGAGCTGAGAATATGGCAGAATGATTAGATTTATCCTGTATGGGACACCATGGGGGAGAACTGGAGAGTAAATGAACTAAAGGGCCAACTCTCTGACTTACTTGCCAATGTATTACTAGCCTCCAGCTCAGCCCCTGGTTGGCACAGAGTAGGTACTTCATAGCTATTTGTTGAATGAATGAATGAATGACCCAACAAAAGCTATAGGGAGAGGTAACACGAAGGTAGATTTGTGAAGACTTTCTAAAAATTCTCTATAATGTGAGTGCCTTAAGGCTGAGCTAGCTGCTGTTAATTTTCTGGATACCAGTGTCTTGCACAAAGCCTGGGAAGCTGTTTGTAAGCCACAGGAACTGATGGTGTAAGCTCTCCTGGAAAATGGTGGACTAGATGACTAGTTGGAGGAAGGTCATCGAAGGGATTTAATGCAAATGGGTACTAGACTAGAGGACCCTGAAGTCCCTTTCGTCCTGGAGATGCTATGTTGTAGTGCCAGCTGAAACACACTTGCTGCTTCAAGGGCCCTCGTGGTGAATTCATTCATCTTAGGAATGCGGTCAAATTAGCATCTTTGTTAGCATAGACTGGAAGCTGGCTAGCTGCCCTTTTCCAGGGTGTATTGAACAAATGGCCACTGGCTTATTTGTTTTAGAAATAGGGGAGGCCATAAAGGTTCTGATGCTCTGAGTGTGTCTGAAGATTAAGGAAATTTAAATTTTGTTCTAGAGTCTCCCAAGCAATGGATAATCAAGGTAGATGCATTTCAAAGAAATGCAAAAATATTTCAAAAGATGAAAGATCAAAGTTCTTGAGTACGTATCTTCTGTAAACAAGGGTGATGAGGGACTCAGTCTGGTGAAAGGGTCAATAGAAAGGAAAGATGCCTGGGAAGGTGGGTGAGGCCCTGAGAACAGACACCATAAAGTGTTAATCACTGCCTGCCTTAATTAGCCTGTAGACTCCAGTACACAGAAGCATAATTTTATTTTCTGAAAATTGCAAACCATCAGTTTTATTATGAGCCGTTTTTTTCTCACTCCCAAAACGCTTATCTGTTTCACGTATGCACAGGGAAAGTCTTAATTGCCAACATCTGTTTTATAGGTTGTGTATTGATTTTAATTCAGTTCAAAATACTTAAAAATTTTTAAATTAGATTTCTTATTTAACCCAAGGAGTATTAAAAACTGTGTTAGTTTTCAAACACCAAGATTAATTTTGAACTTAGGTTTCATTTTCAGTTTTCTAATAATTTGTGTAAAGGAACTTTCCACCTTTTTTCTGCTACTTTCCTTCAAAAGGAAGCTGGCTATTTATTTTTCCTTATACTTGAAAGTCGTCTTCCAGGGCAGATCCCTACCTTTCACTCACCTTTGCCTCAAGACCATGGTCCTGGTATTTAAGACTTTTCACAACCTGGACTCAATGCAACTTTCCGGGGCTTGGGGATAATGTCTCCATTATAAATACCAACACAACTAGACTATTTTCCATTTTCCAAATGTTTGATTGTGTTTATTTTGTTCTCTATGAGAGAAGCTCATTCCCCAACCCTTTATAAAAAATATCATTCAAAACATATTTGGAAAATCCCCTACTCCATGAAGTCTTTTTCCGGTCTCTCAGTGAGCTCTCTTCCACCTCGAAATCTTTGCAGCTGTCTTTTAAAAAAAAAAAAATACTTCCTTTTACTGTCTTCATAATATCAAGATCATTTACTTTTTTATCTTTCTTATTAAAATCTAAAATCTCCTTCTTACAAGACAGCATAGATGTGCGTTTGTTCCGCACTGGGCACTCTACAAATATCTATCAAAACAAACAAATCATGATTTTTCCCTTTCTTCAATGTGCCTGATTGACTAATATTTTAGGTTTTGCTGCATTGGGAACATTCAGAGGTAGGAAAAGAATGTGGGAGTGAGAGAGACTTGCAGGACATTTTAGGAGCCTTTAGTTCTTGATTATTTCATAGACATAAGCTGACAGAAGGGGAAAGATTTCACAGCCACAGAAAGTGGGCTGCTTGAAGAAGACCTTGTTTTCTCTGTTTTCCAGGACCCTGCAGTGATGGGAAGAAAGAGGTTAGGGCCTCTTTCATGAGCTCATTAACTCTTTATAGGAAACAAAAACCACTGACTAATAGAGTGATTGTATAACAATTGACATAAATATTAATGAGGAAAATGCCAGTTTTCTTGCACCAACACCCACTAAGGCTTATATAAGGTCTACAGGAGAAGGAAGATTTTGGTGTCAAGCAGATCCAACTGTGGGCAAAGCAGGATCTTGCCTTTTAGCACCATGACTTCTGACCATTGCAGTTCCCTCCTCAGCGGGCAGGTTTCAGAGGCCAACGCTGCCTCTCTGTGCCTCTTGGCTAATGTGGCACATGCCAATCGAGTCCGTGTGGGGTCGACTCCCCTGGGCCGCCTCAGCCTCTGTCTGCCCCCAACCTGCCACACCACTTGTCCCTTGCCAGGGACCTGCCACATTCCTGGCAACATCGGAATCTGTGGGGCCTACCGCGAAAACACCCTGAACGGCCACGAGAAGGAGACCATGCAGTTCCTAAACGACCGCCTGGCCAACTACCTGGAGAAGGTGCGCCAGCTGGAGTGGGACAATGCAGAACTGGAGACCAAACTCCATGAGAGGAGCAAGTGCCACGAGTCCAGCGTGTGCCGAAACTACCAGTCCTACTTCTGCACCATCCAGGAGCTCCAGCAGAAGGTGAGGTTTGCGGTGCACCAGATCAGGGGTCAGGAATCTGCTTACTGCCTGTCGGCCAAATCCGGCCCACCACCTGCTTTTGCAAATAAAGTTTTATTGGTTCATGGCCATGCTCATGCATTTGTATGTTGTCTGCAGCTGCTTTTGTACTACAGTGGCAGAGTTCAGTCATTGTAATGGAGACTGTAGGGTCTGCAAAGCCTAAAGTATTTACTATCTGACCCTTTACAAAAAAAGATTACTGACCCTGGGTCAGCAGTGGATTTTTTTTTTCTTTTAATGTGGGAAGAGAATCTCTTGAGTGAAGGTGAATGGGAATTTGTAAAGGATGAGATGTAGAATTTATCACTCTAGGATTCTGAGTTCATGCTTACTTAACTTCAGCACATAAAATTCCTAAATCGTAGTCACAAAAATCATGCTATTTTCATGAAAACCATGCAAAAACCGTGCTGAGTTTATGAAAGTTGCAGTATACTGAAACTTCTGGTGCAGTAAACAGGGCAAAAGGAATATTTCCTAACATCCTTGCCAAGGCAGTGTCTATCCACACAACAGCATCAACCTCTTATGCATATCTATTGTCACCTTTGATTATCCAGTTAAAGCTTCTGAAGAGCCTACATCTTAGTTTTGGAGACAAGAAGACAAGGAATGTCAAAATAGGGGTTACAGAAACCTGGCTAGATTCAGAGAAGACCTGTGGGGAGGTTGGACAACCAGAGGAAAGATCTTCTTTAGAACAGATCCTACTTTATCTAAAACATTCATAGCCAGTCCTCTGTTCTGTGGCCTAGTTTTTTTTTTTTTTTTTTTGAGACAAAGTCTCGCTCTGTCACCCAGGCTGGAGTGCAGTGGTGCAATCTCAGCTCACTGCAAACTCTGCCTCCCAGGTTCAAGTGATTCTCATGTCTCAGCTTCCTGAGTAGCTGGGATTACAAGTGTGCGCCACCACTCCTAGCTAACTTTTATATTTTTAGTAGAGATGGTGTTTCACCATGTTGCCCAGGCTGGTCTTGAACTCCTGACCTCAGGTGATCCATCTGCCTTGGTCTCCCAAAGTGCGGGGATTACAGGCATGAGCCACTGCGTCCGGCCAGATCTTCTTATTTATATTGGGCTAAGCATCATATCTGGCAAAATGAAAGCAAGTCTTTGTTATATGTTCAGTTTGCTACTGTCTTCCATCTCCTGGTTCCTTTGACTCTATGTCTTCATCCTTTTCCAAGAAGTCTCTTGCACATCTTCCTTCCCACACCACAAAAGCATCTCTTGCACGTTTGGGAGTTTGTGTTGTCCAGGCGGATGCTGTAGGTTCAACTTCAGCCAATAAAACTTCCTCTCACCTGAGGCTATAGGTGTCTCTGGGATCAGTAAGTCACTTACTGAGCCTACTTTCTTACCCCAGATTCTGTGCACCAAATCGGAGAACAATAGGCTGGTTGTGCAAATAGACAATGCCAAATTGGCTGCAGATGACTTCAGGACCAAGTGAGTTGGGGTTGGACAGGGATGGGAAGGAGCCAAGTGAGAGTTGGGGTTGGATGGGGATGGGACAATGCCAAGTTGGCTGCTTCTGTCTCATGTGGCATCGGATGTCATTGACCCAGACCCCAACCCAGTAGTTATAGCAGAAGAGAACAAAGGGCATTAAGCTCAAGATCCTGAAAAACTATCCGCTCTCCAGTGGTTTAGCATTAACAGTTTACAACATGTGCTAGAATGCATCATCCACCTGGTAAGCAACTTGTGAAGCAGGCGGGCAGGGATAGAATCTCCTCCACAGGTGGGGACCCTGAGGCTTGGGGTGCTGGTGTGACTTGCCAGAAGCCATGTGGGTACCGAGTGGCAGAGCTGGGACTTGGCCTTAAATTTTGTACCAAATTTTCCTTTCTTGAAGCAATTTCCTGTGAAACTGTTGCCTTAATAAGGATATGTTTCTGTGCTGCAGCTTGATTAATTTGTGAGTGCTGATAATTCATAGCAGAAATCATGCTCCATAGCCTAAGATGAAAACATGTGAAAGTCAAAGGGTTGACACCACCTGAGGAGGGTCTACCCTGGGTGCTGGAAGGGCATTGTGTTTTATCATCTTTCTTCGGGGCACTGTGCAAGTCTCACTCTTCTAGAGCTAAAGAAAGCCATTTCCTTCCTCTCATGCTGGCAATGTGGCTTTTACTCTAATAGGGAATCCAGGGTCCCTTTGGGTATGGGGCTTGTAGAGAGGGGCCTGCAGTGATTGCACTGTGTTGCAAATGCCTGGTTACTTTGCCACCTCCCTTTTGGGCCATTGTGTGTAAAGGCAGGTGCTGGCTGTGTGTCCATCACAGTATCCTCAGTACCAGCTGCTCCCCTTGGTTCATCTCAGGTGCTTAGTATTGACTGAGTGGGGAACATCCTGTTGCTTTCTGGGCTTTGAGCACACTACACAGGATAAGCCAACTCACAATTAGATGGCAAAGGGCAGGCCAGTGGACTTACAGCTGCGAGCTGGGAGTCATGTCCTGGTGCCCCTTCCTGCCCTCTAACTGTCACTCCTGCACTTTCCCTGTTACAGGTACGAGAGAGAGCGCTCGCTGCAACAGCTGGTGGAGGCTGACATCTGTGGCCTGCGCAGGGTGCTAGACAACCTCACCCTCGCCAAGTGTGACCTGGAGGCCCAGCTGGAGTCCCTGAAGGAGGAGCTGCTTTGCCTCAAGAAGAACCATGAGCAGGTGTGTGACCCTTGGTGTGATGCATTGAGACTTTCTGGAGGTGAATTCAGGCTCATCTGGGGGGAAAAAACGGAGGCTTCCTTCTGCTTGGGATTGAAGCTTTGCAGGTGAGCTCTGGCTTTTGGTGGGAGATTGCTTCTCATCCACAGCTTCTGGAAGCTGCTAGGCTGGTGCAGGCAGCGGTTTATCTTCAGAGGAGCACAGGGAAATTACTGGGGAGGATGGAAAGTGGGAGTTGAGAGTTTGGGTGAAGGGCAGTTGGGGGCCCTGCAGGCGGGTCATACTCCTCTGATGCCTACAGGAAGCCCACACTCTAAGGGGTCAGCTGGGAGACAAGCTCCGGATAGAGCTGGACATTGAGCCCACCATTGACCTGAGTAGAGTTCTGGGGGAGACGTGAGGCCAGTACGAGGCCATGGTGGAGACCAATCGCCAGGATGTGGAGCAGTGGTTCCAAGCCCAGGTGAGGGGGACTGCTAAGCAGTGGGGATTGGCCTCCATCTGGGCAGGTAGGTGACCATGTTTCTCTATGCTCCAGTCTGAAGGCATCAGCCTGCAGGCCATGTCCTGCTCTGAGGAGCTGCAGTGCTGCCAGTCAGAGATCCTGGAGTTGAGACGCTCGGTGAACGCCCTGGAGGTGGAGCTTCAGGCTCAGCACACACTGGTGAGTCCCTCTGCACGCATGGGAGACCCAGCTTGGCTCCCACTACCCATGAGTAGCTCTCTGGGGTCAGTACAGGCCTCGAATACCAACCACGGACTCAGCTTAAACCTTGGTTTCAACTCTTTTGGAAGCACTTCCCTGTAGATGTGGATGCTGAGTGAATCAACATTAACTTAGGTCAGAGGGCTCTGATCTTAAAGGTCTACCATGAAGTGTGTTAGTTATTCTGGCTGAAGACAGCTAAAGGGAGTTAGATTGCTCTCTGGACCTGGCAATGTCTTGGGGTGTCACAATCTTAAGAGGTTGGAGATCCATGATTTTTAACTTGCTTCCTCCTTTCTTTGATATTATAGAAGGACTGTCTACAGAACTCCCTGTGTGAAGCCGAGGACCGCTACCGCACAGAGCTGGCCCAGATGCAGAGCCTCATCAACAATGTGGAGGAACAGCTGTCTGAGATCCGGGCTGACCTGGAGCGGCAGAACCAGGAGTACCAGGTGCTGCTGGATGTGAAGGCCCGGCTGCAGAATGAGATTGCCACATACCGGAACCTTCTGGAGAGTGAGGACTGCAAGTACGTACCCTGTTGTCTATGTCAACACCGTGTGCAAAAACAGATAACTTCTCTTGGGAATGACCTAAAAGGAGCTCTGGAGGCCAGGTGGGGGTGGCATTGCAGATCCCATCTTTGGAGACAAACTTGCTACCACTAGGCCTGGTGAGCTAATGCCTGCCTAGGCGTAGGTGAGGGTGTACAGGAGTTTTCAGGTCATGGCATTTGTTTTGCTGACCACGTTGTGCTCCCAGTTGCTGGCTACTCCCATAGAGGGCTAAAATACTGAATGCCCAGCACATTCAGGTTTTGCTAAATTCTCTCCAGGAGAAGTATTCCAATAACGAGTATTCTTTGTGCTCATAGCATTTAAAGTATTGCTAAGGGCATGTGCACTGACTCTTTCATTTTAGTTCCACAATAGCCCTGTGAAAAGCATCAGAGGGCTGATATACCCCTTTAAGCACTAAGGAACACTATGAGGGGCTGTGTTTAAATGGAATCAGTGGCTGACATCTGGACCATTCTTGTTCCTCTGGCCTTTCTGCCTTTCTCTCTGCTGTGTTCCTTCCATATGGGACGTGACCCTGGCCTGGCACACAGGTACACTGAGTTCTGGCCCCAGCTCCACTGTGGACTGTGGGCACGTCATTGCCCCTTTCAGGCTTAGAGGGACCTCTAAGGTCTAAGGTCCTCTTTTGCACTTTAATTCTAAAGTGTCTATAATATACTTTTGTCTTTCACATACTTCTCATGCCAATGTTTCAAACACCTTTTTTCTCTATGCAGATTTCCCTGCAACCCGTGTGCAACCCCAGCCTTCAGCACTCCTAGTCCAGCCCCTGCAGCCTGCGCCCCCTGCTCCCGGGCCACCCATGGGCCCTGCTCATCAACTGGATACTGACACACTCCTCAGCCCGAGGTGCTGGGAAAGGGGAGGTGTCTTCAGCTCGTTAGGCTTTGCTCTGCAGGCCTGCTAACCTGGGCCTTGCCTCCCTGGCCAGCCAGGCAGGAGACTGAAGAGAGACAGTGCCACTCTGTGGATAGGTGTTTGAATCCAGCAGCTCAGCCCCTATGGCTGGATTTGTTTCTTCCCCTCAAGGTGTCCCAAGTGCTCCATTTTCTCTCTTCTGTTGCCTCCTGATCTCTCTGAGATGGGGCAGGCACTTTTGTTTTTATTTTGCTATTAAACTTCGCTTCTGCAGCAGAATGAGCCCAGTGCAGTCCAGCCTCAGCATCTCCGTCCCATGCTGAGAGCCTTGCTGGGAACTCCTTGAGCCACATGCTTCTGTAGACGGGGGTTGTGGCTGGCTCGCCAGAGTGGTTCTGGGAGATGGCAAAGCCAGTGAAGGCTAGAGTTAAAAATGGGACTGCGGCAAAGTGGCACAGAGGAGAGATACCCAACCTTGGACCTCACCAAGTGTATTTGGAGACAGATTTACAGATAGAGCTTTTAAAATATAGACGCTAAGTAAAATTTCCCTTTTATCTGGATAAGCCACCTGGTCCTTGTGTAAAGGAAGAGCTCAAATCTGCGGCACCACAGACCGTTGCAAAACTCTGAAAATATTAACTGATGGTAATCGCCATCAGTCTAGAAAGGCCCAAACAACCTGACCCGTCCAAGCTCCCCAGTAAGCTCCACTGGTAAGTCCTGGCAGCTGTCTGGCTTGGAATTTGTAGACAGTAGAACATGAATCAGAAGCCCCAGAACAGGTAACTTAAATTGAGCTTTTAGGATGACATGCCCATTATGAACAAGGCACTGGCTGGGGCTTCGCCGACATTGTGTCACAGGGCACCACATCAGCCCTGCAAAGAAGAAGCAGCTGTTATTATTCTCAGTTGGTTACTGAGTCAAGACTTGAAACCTAGTCTCTTTGAACCAGATCCAAAGCCCGTTCTTTGGAAGCTTTGAGGGGGAAACAAATTAAACATGAGAAGGTTTAGGACAGTGGTTCTTAAAGCGTGGTCCGCCAGCAGGTAGCACTGGCATTACCTGAGAACTTGCTAGACATGCACATTCTTGAGCACCACCCCTGACTTACTGAACCAGCATTCTGCTTTAGCATGACTTGCAGGTGATTCTGATGTTGGTTCAAGTTTGAGAAACACTGGGTTAGGAAGTTTATTTGAGGAATGAGCCCTTGACTAGCTAGACCCTCTACAGAAAGGGCTGGCCTTGCCGTCCTGATATGTCCTCCAGTGAGGAATCCCTCATACCATCAGATCAGGATAGAGCCTTTCTCTTTTACATTGCAAAACTCTGAAAATGTTACATGATAGTTATTTCTATCAGTCTAGAAAGGCCCAAACAAGCTGACCCATCCAACCTCCCCAGTAACCCCCATTGGTGAGTCCTTATGGCAACTGTCTGTCTTGGAATTTGCAGATGGTAGAACATGAATCAAAAGCTCCATATTTTGATAGCCGTGGCTGAGAATCAGCACATCTCCAGAATTCAGCATCACAGCTGGCCAGAGAAGAGAAGCAGTGAGTTCCCTATCCTTGGAGACAAGCAGAGGCTTCAGAATCACTGATGGGGATGTTGAGGGGAACACTTAGGGAACTGATGGGGCTGGTTGAGATGGCTGTAGCCCCCCTAACTCTGTGCGTCCCTGCTTTCTATGTCTTATTGATCAGTGAAACCACAGGCATTGAAGTGGAACCACCAAATCTACTTTAGGAGCTGGTTTTGGTCTTCCCTTTCCCTCTGTGAATTCTCTGAATCACTGTAGTTTGCTGAAAAATTTACAAGTACAGCTGGTTCTGGTTTAATCCAGGTCTTCCTGATACAGCGGTGTGGTGCTGGAGTGACCACAGTCCCGAGCCCCAAGGCTGGAGGGAGCTTAAGTGAGAATCTTGTTGCTCTGCCTCCAACTGCTCTCAAGCCCAGCGTCCTACTTGTTGGTCACTGCTCATGTACATAGGACTGATCTGCTTGAGAGACACTGGGATTTCCAGCATAGGAAGCCCAAGAAGGGTCAGAGGCTGCCACGCCCTCCCCTCCTCTGTTCTTTTTCTCAAGTGGTAAAACTGTTTTGGCACACGTGACACACCCCTTGGGCACCTACCCAAGAGAAGCTCTCAATAATGAAGAGCCATCTCGATTAGTCTTAATTTAGTACCTGACCCAGCTGCCCTCATCTCCTTTGTACTTAAATAGCTCCTTTCATCCAACAAGTTCAAAGCTGTCTAACAAAATAAACCCACTTATTCTTGCACCATGACGGCACAGGCAAGCATTGTCCTTCCCATTTAAGGGAGAGAGAGAGAAGGTGAGTCATTCAGTGGTTAAGGGATTCTGCTGGTGACATAAAGTGAGTCAGTGGGGCCCCAGGGTGATTGACCTGTGTTTCTTAAGTTCACATCCAGTGCTCTCTCATTTCTAATTAAAAGATTAGCTTTGATGAGACAGTACATGTGTGTGTGTGCACGCACATCTGTGTGTTTGTCGTGTGTGAAGAGTTTCCCTGGAAACCACAGAGGTCATCATTACCATCACCATCACCAGAATCATCATCATCATCATCATCAAATCATATAGCTTCACCATCATCATCATTGTCATAGAACCATATATCCATCAAGCTCTTACTATGAGCCAGGCGCTGGTCTAAATTATAGCTACAGTCATATGGGTAAACTCATTTAATCATTACAACAATCCTAGAAAGCCAATGCTATGGTTTTCTCATTTTGCAGACAAGTAGCCAAGACTCAGAGAGGCTAAGTAACATGCCCAAGGTCACACAGCTATTAGGTGGTGAAGCCAGGATTCAGATCCAAGCAGCCTGCCTCCAGCAACTGTGCTCTTAACTACTGTGCTTTACAGAGGCCAAGTCTCAGATTTTGTCAAAAGGATGATAGAATCATAATGACCCCATTGTTTTGATTCCTTTCCTTGAAGGAAATGAGTATGTTTATGTTAGAAGAAACGTTTCTGAGAATTTATGCCACAAAGGGTGGTACAAGGAATAAAAGTCCTTTAGTATCTCACAGGATCTTGAAGCTTGAGGACTCTGGCAATTTTAATAAACTAGGAGTTGACAAAGAAGCTCAACTCACTTCCTGCCATTTTAAAACCACCTTGTCTATTGAGAAAGAGGAGGAGGGAAACAGAATCCCTATAGATGTTCATTGTTTCACCATTTACAAAACACTTGTTAAAGTACTTTGTGTTGTATCCAAATGGAGGCCCCAAACAACCTTGAGAGAGGGGAACAGACATCACAATCCCCATCGTGCAGTGGGAGAAGTACAGGTGTAGGGAGGTGAAATGCCCCCTCTGCACCTCACAGCAGGTGAGGGGCAGCTCCACGCACTCAACCCCAAGTCTTCTCATTTCTTTTTCCCTGCTCTTTCCCTGTTCCCAACTGTGAGGGCCTTGCTGGAGGTACATGTGGATAAAACTTCACGTTCAGACCACTCTGAAATCCTGGATGGATTTTACGGGAAAGGTATCCTAGGGTCTGGGATCTCCCTAGGGGTGACCTTCTCGGTGCTGTCCCCAATCAGCATTTTAGACTCAGCTTCTGGCCTTTGGCCATTGCCTGGAGGCTCCCCCGTTTGATGCTGGTTATTGCATCCAAACCTCCCTTTCCCTTCCTTCCTCCCTGGTTCTTGGATATCCTATACAACCTGCCTCAGTCATTCACATTGGTCTCCAAGGCCCTCTGCCCTCAGGAGGTTTCTCTGGTCTCAAGGGGGCACAACTGTGTCCACTCACCAGCAGGACTGCGTGCTCCCTCCGTTTCCCTCCACCAGCCTTATTCCCCTTTCTATTTCCTCTGTCAATTTGCTTGATTTACTGTAGGTGCTTTTCTTTTTCTGCCCACACCACATCCCTGGAATGATTTCCTATGCTGCACCTGGCAAAAGCCTCTTTCATTTGCTTTGAAACTTACCTTGATGCCCATGGATCCTGTGGGGATGCCACAGGGCTGAAGCGATGGGCCATCACCACCGCCTCTCCTGTGGTCTCCAAAGCAACAAGAACCAGATGCCAAAACAATTCATTACCCTGCCTGGCTGAAGACTAGATTATTAAAGGGAACAAGATTCTAATGAGAACAGTTCTCTGAATTCTGCTTATGAGTCACTTAGAGAGCGAAGCACAAAAAACTCTTTGGGATCAAGTGCATAACCTGAAATGGCTTCATCCCCTCGCCGTGTGGCTGAAAATCATGAGCTGGATTGGAATGCCCTGAATGGGGTTTGGGTCAGGGGTGGGTGTAGGAAGAAATGGAGTGGGTAGGGGAAGGAGATATTTTTGGGGGAAGGCCCAATCACATTACATTATGCTAGCTGTGGACCTGTCTGCTCAGCAGGACTCAGAGTTCCTGGGGGCAGGGACATGACATACCCCCACTCCCCACCATGTCCCCTGCCCCTGGGACTGTGCCAAGCACACAGTAGATGTTCAACAAGTGACTAATGCCCATAATGTCACATGTACAGTTTTCTTTTTATTTATTTTTAATTTTTAGATGGGGTCTTGCTGTCGCCCAGGCTGGAGTGCCGAGGTGTGATCATGGCTCACTGTAACCTCAAATTCCTGGGCTCAAGCAATCATCCTGCCTCAGCCTCCAGAGCATCTGGAACTAAAATGTGCTCTACCAAGCCTGGCTCATTTTTAAATTTTATTTTATTTTTATTTTTTTAGATGGAGTTTCGCTTTTGTTGCCCAGGCTGGAGTGCAATGGCGTGATCTCCGCTCACCGCAACCTCCGCCTCCCGGGTTCAAGAGATTTTCCTGCCTCAGCCTCCCAAGTGGCTGGGATTACAGGCATGTGCCACCACGTCCGGCTAATTTTGAAACTCATTTTTAATTTTTTTTGTAGACATGGGGTCTTGCTATATTGCCCAGGCTAGTCTTGAACTCATGGGCTCAAGTGATTCTCCCACCTCAGCCTCCCAAAGTGCTGAGATTACAGATGCAAGCCACTGCACCCAGTACCCGTTTTCTATTTACACTGAATACAAACATATTTCTAAATGCCCATCTTACACCTTCTAAATATCTCCTTTCCTTAACTTCTGGCTATTTCTCATACATATTGAGGACCCATCTTGGCCGGAATTGTTCATAAAAAGACATTTTTTTCACCAGAACTATGATTCTTCTGTTTAGTCATATGCTCAGCATAGAGAAGCTGTCTAATCAATGTGTTCTGAATTAAATTGAACTGGATAATGAATGTGGGTTTGATAGCCCATTGACTGCTCAATTTCTCCTTGAATGAAAAAAATTTGCAAATATTCCAACTAGGAAACCAAGAGAATACATGAATTCTACCCCTCGCCTGTGTGAGGTCATGGGGATCTTACAACCCTGGGGTCCCATTTTCCCCACTAATTCAAGGAGCAAATTCACTCAAGCCCATTGAGATCTTGAAAACACTGCAAGAAAGAGGCTAGATTCACAAGAGATGGCAGCATTGTGTTTACTCACCAGCTAGTCTGTCTGTGGTCCCCATCTTGAATTCTTGTGCCATTTCACATTCTGCAGGGCAACCAGCAGGTAGAAAAAGGAATATCTAGGAGTAACCAGAAGATAACAGGGGTTTCTTGTTCTCTCCTACATCTTCTGTGTGGCTGCTGACTGGCCATGACCTGCAGCCAGTGCAGGACTGACTCTCCCTGCTTCATTTCTCCTTTCTTCTCTTCCCACTTCTTATTCCTTCAGGAACAGGCAGTGTCGCTCCTTTTAGACTTTACACTGCCTGTGTGTAGATGGCAGTATATTTCTCAGCCACAAACAATCTCAAGCTTGATCACAGAGGTGATGCTTCGGTCTGGACAGCTTGGAACAATGTCACTTCTTTCAGAGGCCTCAGAAGCTGTAGTCCTGTGTCCATAGATCTTTTATGAGTCAACTCCATTTACGCCTTGCAGGACACTCAGCACGGTGGGCCACTCCTCAGTCTATTGGCTTATTTTGTCTTGGCTTCTTCTCAGCTTTGCATTTTCCAGGTTAGCCCCTCGGAAGCTGGGCTAACTTTGTCTGATTTGCTGCATGATGCTGAGGATTCCTCCCAACTTTTTTCCTTGTCTCTTCTTTTTCTTGTTGTCTCTCCTGGTCTCCGTCTCTTTCCATTTCTCTGATCTCTCTGCATTGTACAAAAATTCTATGTTTGCTCTCTTGTCAATACAATCCTTGAATCTTCTCATACTTAGAGCCTAAACACTCTTCTTTGACTACAGTCTCCATGAGGCTATGCCAGCCAATCAGTAGATAGGAATCAAGAGCTTGGAGAATACTGCTGGCATTTAGTTTGGGCTTAGGTTAAAGCCTGCCTGACTGGGGAAGAAGAAAGGGCTGAGGAAATAGCTGCTTGCTGGAAAGCCAGTGCTTGGAGCAGGCTGACAAGAGTTAGGAAGCAGAAGGCCTATGCTGTCATCTACAAGCTAGTGCTCATCAATCAGATGCACGAGCCTTTCCATTCATCCCAAGCCCAGATGAAATGAGACAGAAGCTCCCCACAGACAGCTGCCACCTAGCCTTGCGTCCTTCCTCTGGAGAGTCTCAGGAGTAACAGTCTGTAGACCCGCCTATTTCTCCCCCTTTAATTGTCTTGTAAGGAAACGAAAGTATTGATTTTATTATAAGTCTAGATCTTCTTTGTAGTGCTGTGGGGCTTTTCATCTGAATGGCATTATAATAAGCAGTGATAATGGTCTTGGGGAGTGTAGATGAAGGACCTTTTATCTGAGACTCAAGCAGAGTGCAACATGAATACCATCATGAAAGCTCAATGGGAGAAGCACTCCAATAAATTGTCAATAAAACGGCAGCTCTGGCTGGCAGCCAAAGCCACAGTGGAGATGGGGGTGCTGCAACTTTTATATATTCAGAACTTTGGCTACCTCTTCCTCAGATCTTCTAGTGCCTTCCTTCACCTCCCAAAGCAACCCCAAATGACTCCAGCTTGCCTTGCAAAACCCCCTTGCTCATGCCGTGCTCAGCATTTTCTTTCCTGGTGCCCAGGTCCTTGGATTTAATTACACAACCACAGAGACCTCCTTTGGTACCTTTAGACCTTTGGTTCTTAAAGCAGGTGGCATCTCCACTCGGGCTGGAGATGGGAAGCCCAGGACAGAATATGGTACATCTTCCTGATGTATCCATTTCTCTTAGAGAATTAAGCAAAGTATTTGAAAGTTTAACTGGAAATTTAAAAGGGGCTTTTTAAAAACATTAAAGCTGGCTGGGCGCGGTGGCTCACGCCTGTAATCCCAGCACTTTGGGAGGCTGAGGCGGGTGGATCACGAGGTCAGGAGATTGAGACCATCCTTGCTAACACGGTGAAACTCCATCTCTACTAAAAATACAAAAAATTAGCCGGGCGTGGTGGTGGGCACCTGTAGTCCTAGCTACTCAGGAGGCTGAGGCAGGAGAATGGCATGAATCTGGGAGGCGGAGCTTGCAGTGAGCTGAGATCGCTCCACTGCACTCCAGCCTGGGTGACAGAGCAAGACTCCATCTGAAAAAAAAAAAAATTATATATATATATATATATATATATATATATATATATATATATATATAAAGATTAAAGCCAACATGGATATATTATGGAATATAGGGTCAATTCATATGAAGTTTAAAGATCAACTACAAGTGATTTCAGGCCGTGGAGGCCCCTTTGGGCTATCTCCTGACTTTCCTAACATATCCATCTACTCTGTTCGGATACTATGGATAACCTTAGGAAATGTTTGACAAAGACCTCCTTATTCCTTTCTCTCTGCCCCTGAATATCTTTCCTAGATTATTTAAATGCATTTTTTTTGTTTTGTTTTGTATTTTGAGATGGAGTCTTGCTCTGTCACCAGGCTGGAGTGCAGTGGCACCATCTCGGCTTACTGCAACCTTCACCTCCCAGGTTCAAGTGATTCTCCTGCCTCAGCTTCCCGAGTAGCTGGGACTACAGGTGGGTGCCACCATGCCCAGCTAATTTTTTTGTATTTTTAGTAGAGATGGGTTTCACTATGTTGGCCAGGATGGTCTCTATCTCTAGACCTCGTGATCCGCCGGCCTCGGCCTCCCAAAGTATTGAGATTACAGGCGTGAGCCATTGTGCCCAGCCTTAAATGTGTTTTTTATGGCTCTCTCGGTTTGCACTTTTCAGCCTCTTTCAAAACGATCTCTTACCCCAGAAACTTCTTGTTCTCCAACTAGTTATCAAAGCCTCTACCTTTAAAATTCTCTCCTCTACAATTTTCTTAAGTAATATGTGGTGGTGGGGGGGAAGTATTACACGGACCCGTAAAACACAAATCGCTGTCTAATCTTTTCAGTCGTGTCCTCCATTGATTCTAATCATCCACCTTAAGGCTTCCAAGGCACAGAATGCTCCATCATTTGAAGATTCTTCTCTAAATGCAGAGGGAAAGACAGTCCACTGTGGCCTCTTAATGCAACTTCTTCCTCAAATCAATCCGTGTTTCTCCCTAGAAACGGCAGGTGGACCAGGACATGAGTATGTTTATGGGCCTGCAGAATTATGTGACACAAAAGAATGTCATCGGATGGATCAACACCTCAATTAATGAGGGCAGATACTTGGGCTGGACTGTGTAGCCTCTTTGAAGGCCTACCACAGAACTCTGATTTCATGGGTGGACTGTCTGCGGAGGAGTCCTGACTTAGCAAGAAGCCCAAGTAAAGAATTTTATGGGAGAAGGGACTCTTCAGAGGAAGGCAAATAACAGACTGAAGGAAAGGGCGTTTGAAAAGAAGTGAAGAAATAAAAAGAAAAAAGACATTACATACTGTGTCCACACCCTCTGCAGTGGGATATAAATGCTCCCTAGAGGAAGGAGACCCACAGCTCTGTGGCTTGGAGAATTTAGACTCTGTCTTCAGCCAGGCACTCACTCCCTCCCTCCCAGCACTATGCCCTACAACTTCTGCCTGCCCAGCCTGAGCTGCCGCACCAGCTGCTCCTCCCGGCCCTGCGTGCCCCCCAGCTGCCACAGCTGCACCCTGCCCGGGGCCTGCAACATCCCCGCCAATGTGAGCAACTGCAACTGGTTCTGCGAGGGCTCCTTCAATGGTAGCGAGAAGGAGACTATGCAGTTCCTGAACGACCGCCTGGCCAGCTACCTGGAGAAAGTGCGTCAGCTGGAGCGGGACAACGCGGAGCTGGAGAACCTCATCCGGGAGCGGTCTCAGCAGCAGGAGCCCTTGCTGTGCCCCAGTTACCAGTCCTATTTTAAGACCATTGAGGAGCTCCAGCAGAAGGTGAGCGGCATTGCTGTCATCTCCAAGCAAGAGAGTTTGCTGTGATTCTGTCTGTGATAGAGAAGTGTGTTTCTTGCTTCTGTGCTGTCATAATTCTTGCTTCCTCTTTTATTTCAAAATGGCTTAAGTCATTTTTAAAAAGTTGATGATTTCATATTTATTTTCAGTCCTCACTAAGCCACCTCTCACTCCCCAGATCCTGTGTACCAAGTCTGAGAATGCCAGGCTTGTGGTGCAGATCGACAACGCCAAGCTGGCTGCGGATGATTTCAGAACCAAGTGAGTTGTTCGGAATTTGCACTAGTGTCAATTGCTTCTGTTTAATCTTTAAAGAAAAGGGATTTCCATCTGAAAACAGATCTACCCACTTGTTGTGAAGGATTCTGCAGAGGACTGGGGAGAACCAAGCAAAGAAATGCAAAAATGGATGAGGACTCACATCAATCTGTTTGTTTTGGGATGAATATTGGGTATTGATGGAGCCTCCAGAAACCTCTGTCTCCTGGGCCTATTCATTACAGAAAGTGGAAAGATAAGGCACATGAGGTTATCAAAAATCATTCCTGTGAGTCTTGAAGATCTACCAGGTAGTACTCTGACCCTGTCCTTGCGCAGGTACCAGACCGAGCTGTCCCTGCGGCAGCTGGTGGAGTCGGACATCAACGGTCTGCGCAGGATCCTGGATGAGCTGACCCTGTGCAAGTCCGACCTGGAGGCCCAGGTGGAGTCCCTGAAGGAGGAGCTGCTCTGCCTCAAGAGCAACCATGAGCAGGTGAGACTAGAAATGAGAAATGCACAAACCTGTCTCAGCCTCTGGCTCAGGGTTGCTTTAGTGATTTGGGGCAGCAGAATGCAGAGTATGAGTACAAGACTGAGGGTTTCCTTTGAAAACATCACGGTAAGAGAAAAATTGGAGAGAGATAAGACCTGTTCATGTTCCCAGACAGGAAACATCTTTCACTTTAAACTAGCACATTATTTGAGTTGCCCGGAGCAGCTCCATGTGCTTGCAGTTGATCAATAGTTGTAGAATGAGTCCTAGCATTGCAGTGTTATTGCTTTGTAAAGTCTTTTTTTTTTTTTTTTGGCAAAGGCCAAGAAAAAAAATATCAAACCTTATAAATGTGAGTCTCTACTCTTTCAAAGTATTGGTGAAGAGTGTTTGTGAGATTCTTCCTCTCTCTTGGGAGGGGCCATGACATGCTCTTACCTCTTACTTGACAGCAAGAATTTTTTGATATATGGTCTGAAATTGCACAGCCTATTTTTTTTGGCATTCTGAGGTCCTCACAGCCAATTGTAAACTGGGAAAGTTGAATATCAATTAGTTCATCCTTCAGTGGCATCCAAGCAAACTTTTGGGATTTTTTTCTGAAGCCAAGTGCCATGGCACAGCAGATGGTGGGGAGGGGGCTATGCCACATGGAGTGCCTTGAGCTGTCACAAACTGCTCCACTCAAAGTTTCTTTTCCGAGAAAATAGACTAACAGGGTTTCAACAAGCAATGCCATTCCTTAGAGTTCATTCTTTGCTGAGCATAGTAACTCTTGTATTTTCTGCATCCATAGGAGGTCAATACCCTGCGCTGCCAGCTTGGAGACCGCCTCAATGTGGAGGTGGATGCTGCTCCCACTGTGGACCTGAATCGGGTGCTGAACGAGACCAGGAGTCAGTATGAGGCCCTGGTGGAAACCAACCGCAGGGAAGTGGAGCAATGGTTCACCACGCAGGTGGGCATCTAAGCATGTGGCCCCTCAGGACCCAAGGCCCCCCAGGGCCCCGGAGGCAGGGTCTGATCCTTTCTCCCCTTGGGTGTTTCAGACCGAGGAGCTGAACAAGCAGGTGGTATCCAGCTCAGAGCAGCTGCAGTCCTACCAGGCGGAGATCATCGAGCTGAGACGCACAGTCAACGCCCTGGAGATCGAGCTGCAGGCCCAGCACAACCTGGTGTGTATTGTTCAGACCTGCTGGTGAGCGACGGGAACTTGGGAGGCAGAGTCCCGGGGATGTGCTTGGGGCCACACACTCTCCTTAGCTCTTGGAGCTTGTGACTTCCTTGTAATCCTGTGAAGAAACCCTTTGAAGGAGCAGCTCTCTGACATTCCCAATCTTCTCCACCACAGCGAGACTCTCTGGAAAACACGCTGACAGAGAGTGAGGCCCGCTACAGCTCCCAGCTGTCCCAGGTGCAGAGCCTGATCACCAACGTGGAGTCCCAGCTGGCGGAGATCCGCAGTGACCTGGAGCGGCAGAACCAGGAGTACCAGGTGCTGCTGGATGTGCGTGCCCGGCTGGAGTGTGAGATCAACACATACCGGAGCCTGCTGGAGAGCGAGGACTGCAAGTGAGTACATGGGCAGACGTGTTTGATGAAATGATGCACGTGTGAGTGTAACAGTTAGACACCATGCAAATATTGCATACCTTGGAAAGGAAATTATGCCTTCACACTAGACATGCTCAAACAGAACTCAGACAACATAATATGGCCATCATTTAAAACATAAATGGTTTGGTAGCAAGAGTTGTTTGATGTACAAACTGAAATTGCACTGCCAAGTCTTTGCATTCTAGTATGATAATATGCATGACTGCATGATATGTGATCAATGCCTTACTTTTTACAATACTGTATTGCCTAGTGGGTACATTCCCATAGGCTACCTGATTTGATCTTATAATTACCACCAGGTGGGCTGGATCAGTATTCCCTCCATTCTACAGGAAAGTAAACTGGGGCTTGGAGAAGGTAAATGACTCACCCCATGTCATCAGTTTGGCATGAATGGATTTGAGAGTAGACATCAGAGTTTCAGAGTTTCTGTCTACCTTGGTGCTCTATGGCAGGGAGACCATTAACAATTTGAGTTAGTTATCTTTGTAGCAGGGGAGTCTGTGCCTTTTCTGTTCTAGGCCAGGTCAAGTCCCTTGACCCAGGCATTCTTACCCTTGGGGATATCTCTGGCATATGATTTTAAAATTGCCCTTAACTCACTTTTCCACATCATTCTTTTGTCTCCAGTCTGCCCAGCAATCCCTGTGCCACGACCAACGCGTGCAGCAAGCCCATCGGACCCTGTCTCTCCAATCCCTGTACCTCTTGTGTCCCTCCTGCCCCCTGCACACCCTGTGCCCCACGCCCCCGCTGTGGGCCCTGCAATTCCTTCGTGCGCTAGAACCTAGGGAATGCCAGAGGAGCAAGGATGCAGGGCCCAGGACTCCAGAGCTGTGACCTGGCTCTGGTTCAACAAAAGGGGCCTGAAAACATCATTTGCATGGCTGGAGTTGCCCGCGTAAGGCAGCCAAGAAACTCACCCAAAGCCTGTAGCCTCCCCAACTACTCCAGACTGTCCTGCTCACCCTTTCCTTCCTGGGGGTCTGTTCCTTCCTATGCTCACCCAGAGAACTCTCTGATGTGCCAGTGGCCCTCCCTTTTAACCTCCTAATAAATATCATTTCCTTGGCAAAGCAGATGCCTTTTTCATTTGTATTCATTTGTTTCAACGTGCTCATCACCTGAGTACGCTATAAAAAGCCACTTGAAAGACAGGCCATATAATGGCCTGACTCTTGGATACCAGAGCAGTTTCATGCCTCAGGGGAAGATGGTGAATCTGGTGCCCTGGACCCAGGAGCGAGGCAGGCAGGCCAGTGGGAAGGAGGGTGGAGGTGCTGAGTGCTGCAGTCCCTATCTCCCCTTAGCTATTCTTGGATTTCCCTTCTAACTTGGACATCTCCCAGAGCTGCTTGTATCCTATTCTGAATGGAGGAGGCATGAGCTGCGGGCTGGAAAGAAGCTCTGGAAAACTCATGTTCTTTCAGCAGGAGTTTCAGGTTCAGTGCTGTATTATTCTGGGTTATTGGTGGTCCAGGCATTTCCCAGCGAAGAAACCCTCTGACCTGCCCTGCTATACCCAGGAATTCCTCCTTTCCCTTGTGTGGGTCGATCATTATCAGCCTGGGCTTCCAGCTTCTGTCCTCCCTCCTCGACTCCAGGTCTTAGAGACCCCGTCAACTCTTTATTTGATCCTTTGGCCTTTCTCAATTCAATCCAACCAGTACCTGTTGAATACCTACTCTGTGCAGACGCTGGGTGGTGGGATGGGTAGAGACACATGAAGAAACACACAGTTCCTGACTGCAACTTACTGATAATTTGTTAAAAAACTAGTCCCCAAGTAGTGCTCTTATAAGGCCCAGTCCCCTGGCACTGTGAACAGCTGGTGGGTGCTAGAAGGAACTCTGAGTACCGAAAGGGACAATGCTGGTACCCAATGGCATCGGTGTTTATCAAGAAAGGGCATCTTTCTTTGACTCTCATGAAGACCCATGGAAGTGTTTAAGCATAGACCTCCCGAAAACATAGAGGGCCATTTTGATCTGAAGGGATCAGAGGTCTCTGACTTTTCCCACCACACCAGGCTTTCCCAGCGGGTATCAGACTCCACCTGGGTGAAACATAGTCCTGTGTCCTAAAATGATCAAGTGAATCGGAATTTTATATGTATATATATATATAAATAAATATATATAAAAAATATATTTTTGTTTGTTTTCATAAAGCGATGATTCTCTCCACCATAATTTCTCCCTTGATTCTTCTTTTTAAAACTCAAGTTCCAGGATGGATTTGGATTTGTGCTTTGCTGCTTGGCTTGTGAGAAACCTCTGACCTGGAACTCTGTCTCTACTATGATTCACCCTGTGTCTGTGATTTCCTCCAAACCCAAGGTCAAGCTCAGTCCAGAGGCTCTCTCTCATGTTGCTTGTTTCTTTATTCCACATCCTGCTTATGTATATTATTTTACAATAATACAAAAGTACTGCTAATAGCTCCTGTGGTAGACAGAATAATTGTCCCCTCCATCCCTCATCAAAATGTTCATGTTCTAATTCCTGGAACCTGGGAATATGTTAGATTACATAAAAAAGGAAATCGAAGTTGCAGATGGAATTAAAGTTGCTAATCAGCTGACTTTACGATAGGGAGATTATCTCGGATTATCAGGTGGACTCAGGGTTCTTAAAAGTGGAAGAGGGAGGCAGAAGAGTGAGAAGGTGATGAAACTATGGACCCAGGTCAGAGTGATGTGATGTGAGAAGAACCTGCCTTGTCCTTGCAGGATTTGAAGATGGAGGAAGTGGGTCATGAGCCAAAGAATGCAGGTCATCTCTAGACCTTGGAAAAAGCAAGGATTCTCCTCTAGACCCTTTAAAGAGAAACGTAACCTTGCCAGACCTCTGATTTTATTTTTATTGTGGTAAAATATGTACAACATAAAATTTACCATTTTAGCCATTTTTAATGTACAATTCAGGGGCATTAAGTACATTCACATTGTTGAACCCTATGCACAGATTCCCACTAATTTTTGGCAAGTCTCTTCAGGAACTGCCTTTAGATTCAATTATGAGTCACAATCCTATGGAGGTGGTTTTAAAAATGATCCAAATTGATTGTCTACGTCACTCACAAGGTTTCTCTTTGAACAGCTTCAAAAAAGTCAAACCTATCCTCAAAGGACAAAGGTTTGTTATCAGCAAACTGGATATTAAAAAGATACAGACATTAACAAAACAGAACTTTCTAAACGTGCTTTGACTAGAGATGGCATCCTGGAATAAAGAAAAATTCTGGCTGGAGGCAAAATTTATAGGATCTGTAAATTCTGCCATGTTTTTTAAACCATAAAAATCTCAATCGTTGTAGCTATACCTCCCCTTAAACATTTCCATGTGGCTTTCAAATTATTTCCAGGTGCTCTGTCATCATCATCAGACACACGGCAGGACAGTGGTTCTCAACCTTGGCTGTGTTTGAAATCACCCAGGGAACTTAAACAATTTTTTGAGGCTTGAGTCTGCTCTCAGGGAGTCTGATTTAATTGATCTGGGATTCAGCCTGGTCACTGGGAGTTTTAGAAGCTCTACAGGTGATGAGCCTCCAATGAGCTAGGTTGAGACTCACTTACCAGAACCTGGATTCTAGCTCTGACATTTACGACCTTAATAGCTCTGTGTCTTTGGATAAGACATGTGGCTTCTCCTAGCTTTAGTTGCCCCAAAGGTAGAGTGGAGATAACCGTGTCTTCTCTACTTACTTTATAAACTTGCCAAAGGAAGCATGGAAAACTGTTTATGGAAACACTTTGTAGACCACATATTTTTATTAGGATTATTGACAATTTTTATTATTGCCGGTATAGCTAAGTTTCTTAAGGTTAAAAAAGTATCATCATTTTCTTTTTCTTTTTGGATTTAGGTTCAACAGCAGGATTTGCATATTGTCGTATTGTCTTTCACACCATAAATTCTTTCTTCTTTAAACCCAGCTGTGCACCAGAAGTGTATGGTCTGCTCGGCATATTTGATACTTTTTGGCCCCAGGCTCCTCTTGTGATAGGTGGGCGGGCAGCTCCTTTTTCAGTTGTCTGGGCTATTTGGCATGTCTGATGCTCTTTGGTGACCTGTTTTATTGCCTCCTGAGCTGTCTTGGTCTAAACTCTTAGCCGGCAGTATCTACCACTCTCCGACCTTTGACTTTTCCCTAGGCTTATCTCCTGGATACTTTTGCTGTTTCTTTTCCTTTCTGTTTCCCTGCAAATTTTATGTTTACTTTGGGATGGAGCTAAGGCACTTTTTTTTCCATCCTTACATCTGGAGTTAAAGCCATCATTTGAGTTTTTTGAGGCCTGAGGCTGCTGTCAGCATCTGCAGGAAGAACAGCAGGCTGTCCAGGAGCGCTCAGCATTTTCCTCTATATAAGCACATCCCGTTACTTCCAGGAGCCAAGCCATGCCATGATAAGCTTGTGGGATTTGTTACTTTTTTTTTTTGGAGATGGAGTCTCGCTCTGTCACCAGGTTGGAGTGCAGTGGTGCGATCTCAGCTCACTGCAACCTCTGCCTCCCAGGTTCAAGCAATTCTCTTCCCTCAGCCTCCTAGGTAGCTGGAACTACAGGCGCCCACCACCACACCCAGCTAATTTTTTGTATTTTAGTAGAGACGGGGTTTCACCATGTTGGCCAGGATGGTCTCCATCTCTTGACCTCGTGATCTGCCTGCCTCGGCCTCCCAAAGTGCTGGGATTACAGGCGTGAGCCACTGCGCCCAGATGGGATTTGTTACTTTTTAAACTCCCAGTTTGCTGAGGAGTAAAGTGATGTGCAGGAAGCCTAGGTGTGTCTTGTCTGGTGCTCATAGCTGGTATTGGAATCCATGATCTCTCTTCTGCATTTTCTCCCAGCTGTTATGTTTTGTCACAGCCTGGCCTAGGTCAGTGTCTCATCTCTCTAACTCACAATAAATATGATGGGTCAGGCCGACTGAAGCCTGCTTACTTGTGTCATTTTGAATGAGTTAAATTTACTCCCAACATTTCAGATTCTTCATCTCTGCTACATGGTGACAAAAATGGAACCTGAACACTCAGGTTCTGGGGTGAGGATGAAATACTATATGCAAAGGTACCTAGTAGACTATCTGACTAGAAAGTGATTGATTGATATTCATTTCCTTACTACCTTACTGTCTGGGCACTAGTTTTCTCCTCCATAAATTCAGGTCCTTCTAGCTTTAGAGTTCTTTGATTGTAGGAAACTGAATTTACTTCTGAGATGAACTTTTACAGGATTAAAACTCATGGTTAGAAGGGTAGTCTTTCTTCTAAGTTCTAAATCACTTAGGTCATGTGATTATGCATTTTAATTTGCTTAGATATTCAGAAAAGACAATCTAGTTTCCAGTTTGGATCAATTATGCAAAAGGACGATTATTTCCCTGTGGAGAAAAATAAATGAGTAAGACTTGGCCTTAGTTCAGGAAGGTACCATAGAGATTAGCTGGGTGCTCAAAGGTTTGGGCAGAGAGGCCTTTGGAGGAATGATGGAGTATGAAGGGGTGGGGAACAGGGCCCTAGAGGGGACCAGAAGGAAAAACTACGAAGTAAGGGGCAATGGGAAGCAATGAATATTTCCCTCACAAACCAGAGAAACCTCTGTGCCAAATATAAAGGTTTTGTACTGTGTTTAGGTGTTCATGATCAGGAGTCATAAACCTGAATTGTTCAAATCCCTGCTCCACCATTTATTGCCTGTATCTAGGGCAAATGTGGAGCCTTTCCCAGTTTATTTCTTTATCTGTAACATGGGAATAATAGGCCAACTTTATACAGTTGTTGGGAGAATCAAATGAGAAATGTGCCAAAGTGCTTAGTGCCTTGTTTGGCATCTAATAAGCCTTGATGAAATGGCAGAATCATCATCAACAACAACACTGCCATTATTATCATTATTACAAATGCTTGCACAGAGCTATAAGGCTAGAAGATTCCAAGAGGATAACAAAAGCACATTTCAATCCCAGTACCAGAAAAGAGGCTTTGGTGATATTACAATTTCATGTGGAGAACTTGTCCTCCTCCAGAACTACCCCAAATAAGATAACCAAACCCACAAGATCAGGAACTTAGCAGAGAAGATAGAGGTAATGGTTATCTGCAACTTCCTATTTCAACCACTAAGTTAATGTTAACATTTGCATTTTGATGGTTAATTTATGAATAGAGTTCTGTGCCCCTAGTACTTACAAGGTAAGTGGGTGAAGTTTGAGCACCACTGGGTTGGGATGGGCAATGGGCAATTTGTCTGCTTAACGAAGTAGAATTTTCACAAAATTCTTCATCTGAGCCACCTGGGTCAACAATAGGAACAATGAAGTTTATGGAAATAAACATCATCACTCCCTCCCCCAAACATGTTCACACACAATACCTTACCTTTTGCAAAAAAAAACAAAAACAAAAACAAACAAACAAAAAAACAAAACTATGAGGTAGGCAGCATTATTATTATTTCAATTCAAGAGATGAGATAAACAAGACTCAAAAAAGGGAATGAACTTCTCTGAGCTCATATCATAGGTAAGGATGTAAATCCAGGTCATTTAATTTCAAATTCGTGTTTTTTGGAGAGTGACATCAGCAAGATGAGGGAATAAGCAGCCCTGGACCCTCCTCACCGTCATGGGCACACTAATTCAATAATAATACTCAGATAAATTTTATTTGTGAGAAATCTAGTAACAATTTGAGAGGCTCTTGCACCCTGGATGAGTGTAAAACCAGCCAAATCAAAGTTGGTAGAAAGATTTTAAGATACTCTATCACAATAATCCCTGCTTTCTCAGCATAGTATCATATGGTTAGGAGGAAATCCCCCTCCCAGCTTCTTTGCAGGGAGAGGAGGAAATAACTGGACCATACATTCAACATTCAGATTTTTCTGAGAGCTGCCAATGCACTAGCTTCTGTCTTGCCTGTCTTAGAATGCGGATGGAATCCAGAATACTCCAGACGTCTAGGAGCCATTGAGAACAAAGAGGGTAATTTTAACTAGCATATGAATATTCACCACAGCCCTCTCCCCCGGCCAAGTTCAGAGCGAGCCAGTGAAAAACCCTGGGTCCCAGGCTCTCCCTGGAGAGAGAAAGAGTTAGACCTGTGTCCAATATTCTGTCTTTTCTGTGGACAGTATCAGGGATGGGCTTCTGTCTCACCTGTGCCAGAGTGCTATGGAAACTAGCCATACTCAAGATGCCTGGAGGCTGCAAAGATGGTGGTTTGGACTAGCACAAAAATTTGAGAGGTCCCCAGTATCTCTGGCTGGGCTGATTGGTGAAGGTCTTCTCCAGTACAAGGCCAGTCCGTGAAGATTGGGAGAGGTGGCTGTTTTGTCTAATGCACAGACACCAGCACAAAGATCCAAGGATAATGAAGAAACAGGGAAATATGTCCTAAACAAAGGTACAAGATAAATCTCCTGAAGTTGACCCCAATGAAAGAGATATACAATTTACCCGAAAGAGAATTTGAAATAACCATATATTCAAAATAGAGAATTCAAAATAACCATATAATCACAGGCTGGGCATAATGGCTCATGCTTGTAATCCCAGCACTTTGGGAGGCCGAGGTGGGTAGATCACTTGAGGTCAGGAGTTTGAGACCAGCCTGGCCAACAGGGCAAAACCCCATCTCTACTAAAAATATAAAAATTGGCTGGGCACAGTGGTGCGCAACTGTAATCCCAGCTACTCAGGAGGCTGAGGCATGAGAAATGCTTGAACCCAGGAGGTGGAGGTTGCAGTGAGCCGAAATCATGCCACTGCACTCCATCCTGGGCAACACAGCGAGACTCTGTCTCAACAAAACAAAACAAAAACAAAATAACCATAATTAAAGATGCTCTGCAAGGCCAGAAGAACAATACACAAAGTGAGAATTTTCAACAAAAAGGCAGAAAATACAAAAAGTACCAAACAGAAATCATGCTGCTGAAAAATACAATAACTGAATTGAAAAATTCAATAGAGGGATTCAATAGCACACTAAATCAAGCAGGAGATAGGATCAGTGAACTCAAAGTCAGGCCATTGGAAATTATCCAGAGGAACAAAAAGAAAAAAGAATAAAAAAGAGTAAAGAAAGCTTAAGAGATGTATGGGACATCATCAGGCAGACCAACATTCACATTAGGAAGATCCAGAAGGAGAAGAGAGAGAGAAAGTTTAGAAAACTTATTAAAAAAAATAATGGCTCAAAACTCCTGAAACCTGAGAAAGAACATTGACATCCAGATCCAGGAAGCCCAGTGTATCCCAAATAAGATGTTCAGATAAATCAAAGTGATACACATTATAATTGAATTGTCAGAAGTCAAAGACAAATAGGGAATTTTGAAAGCAGCAAGAGAAAAGTGACATCATGTACAAGGGAACCTCCATAAGGTAATTAATACATTTCTTAGCAGAAACTTTGCAGGCCGGAAGGACATGGGATAATATATTTAAAGTGCTGAAAACAAACCAACCAACCAACAAACAAACTGCCAACCAAGAATATCATTCCCAGTACAATTATCCTTCAAAACTGAAGGAGAGATACAGACTTTTATAGATAAACAAAAGCTGAGGTAGTTCATCATCGCTGGACCTGCCTTACAAAAAATGTTAAAGGAAGTTCTTTAAGTTGGAACAAAAGGATGTTAAACAGTAATATAAATGCATGTGAAAGTATAAAACTTGCTGGTAAATGTAAATATACTGATAAATATAGACTACTGTAATACTATAATGGTGGTAGGTAAATCACTCTTTTAATTCTACTATAAAATTTATTTATTTATTTATTTATTTATTTATTTATTTATTTATTTATTTTTGAGACAGAGTTTCACTCTTGTCACCCAGGCTGGTATGCAGTGGTGTGATCTTGGCTCACTGCAACCTCCGCCTCCCGGGTTCAAGCGATTCTCCTGTCTCAGCCTCCTGAGTAGCTGGGATTATAGGTGCCTGCCACCACGCCCAGCTAATATTTATATTTTTAGTACAGACAGAGTTTCTCCATGTTGGCCAGGATGTTCTCGAACTCCTGACCTCAGGTGATCTGCCCTCCTCAGCCTCCAAAAGTGCTGGGATTATAGGTGTGAGCCACCACACTTGGCCCTCTACTATAAAATTTAAAAGATAAAAGTATTAAAAATAACTATAACTATAAAAATAGGTTAATGCATATGCAATATAACAAGATGTAAATAATGACATCAATACATAAAAGATGTGTGTGGGAGAAGCAAAAGAGTAGTTTTTGTATGCAGTGAAAGTTATCAGCTGAAAACAGACAGTTATAAGTTGTTTCATATAAGCCCTATGATGATCACAAAAAAATACCTATAGAAGATACACAAAAGAAAAAGAAAAAAGAATAAAAACATATCGATACAAAAATCCATGCAACACAAAGGAAGACAGCAAGATAGGAAAAGAGAGACAAAAGAACTCTGAGAAAGACAAAAGAATTAACAAAATGGCAATATTAGTCTTTCCCTATCAATAATTTATTGAAATGTAAATGAATTAAACTCTCCAATCAAAAGACATGGAGTAGCTGAATGGATTTTCAAAAAACCAACAAGTACTATCTACATACTATCTAGAAGAGACTGACTTTAGATTTAAAGACAATGTATAGGCTGAAAGTGAAGGAATGGGAAAAAAAATATTCCGTACAAATGGTAACCAAAAGACAGCAGGATGGCTGTACTTATATATCAGACAAAATAGTCTTTAAGTCAAAAATTGTCACAAAAGGCAAAGAAGAACATTATATAATAATGAAAAAACTCACCAGGAAGATATAACAATTGCACACATATATGAACCCAACATCAGAGCACCTAATATATATATAACAAACATTGACAGAACCAAAGGGAGAAATGGACAATGCAATAATAGAAGAATTCAGTAACTCACTTTTGATAATGAATAGAACATTCAGATAGAAAATCAACAAGGAAACAACAGATTTGAGCAATACTATAGAACAAATGGACCTAACAAATAACACGTTCTATCCAATGGTAGCAGAATGCATATTCTCCAGTGCATGCGGAACATTGTCCAGGATAGATCATATGTTGGGTCACAAAACAAGTCTTAACGAATTTAAGAGGATTGAAATCATACTAAGTATCTTTTCCTACCACAATGGAATGAAACTAGAAAACTAGAACGGAAATAAGAAAAAAACTGAAAAATACACAAATATGTAGAAATTAAAAAACATTTAAATAATCAATGGGTCAAAGAAGAAATCAAAAAGGAAATTAGAAAATATCTTGAGACAAATGAAAATGAGAACACAACGTATCAAAATTTATGGGATGCAGCAAAAGCAGTACTAAGAGGAAAGTTTTATATATGTATATACATAAACCTATATCTAAACATACACACACGCCTACCATGTACCTACAAAAATTAAAAAATTAAAAAAGATAAAGAACAAACTAAGCTCAAAGTTAGCAGCAGGAAGGATATAATAACACTTTTTGCTCTAAATTTTATTATGATACTTACGATAAAACTTAGAGCAGAAATAAATAAAAATAGAGACTAGAAAAACAATAGCAAAAAATCAATGAAACAGAGTTTTTTTGAAAGACACAGAAAATTTACAAACCTCTAGATAGACTAAGAAAAAAAGAGGAAACACTCAAATAAATAAAATCGAAGATGTGCTTTTCTGCTCCTCTCATGCTGCTTTTGAAATTCAGATGCAGCCTTCTTTAAATGATTCGTATTGTGTTCCACAAATAATCTTTTGGGACTTCTTTCTGAAACATGACTTTGTTTCCCTGCGGAACAAAGGCAAGGTAGAGTGACAGGGAAAAGAAGTGAGGTAGGGAAGGCTATTCTGTGAAGAGTGATTATTGGGCAATAGAGAGGCTCCCTAGGTTATGCAAGAGTCAAAGGGTAACTGGATCCCAGAGGTGATAGAAGCACACTTATCAGAGACAGTGTCTACTTGTAGGGACAACAGAGTAAATCTGCATTCTCATGGGCACTGTGGCTTGTCCTGGAAGCATCTCAGGCTGGCATAGTCATACCTCTAGGAGAGTTAATACTCTAGAAAGAGGAACAAGTCTAGAAATAAGATGATAGAAATTTCCAGAGAATTTGAGAAAAAGCCACCATGGATACAAAGATACCTCTGAGCACCCTTGCTCCAATTTTCGTTTCTTGGTGAGTCTGCAGTATTATGCTTCATATTCATGCTTCAGTGCTGCCATCTGAACTCTCACTGCTCCAGACTGTTTCCAGCATATTTTTTCTTCTAGATATTTCTACTCTTGCTCATCTTTAGAGAGGCTGTTGCTTTAGTACAAGTTGGCAAATTTTTTAATTTTAGGGCTTTGTGGACACTATAGTCTCTGTCACAACTACACAACTCTGCCACTGTAGCACAAAAGCAGCCATATACAATAGCTAAACAAATGGGCATGGCTGTGTTCCATTAAAACTTTATTTACTGCCGGACGCATTGGCTCACGCCTGTAATCCCAGCACTTCGGGAGGCCGAGGCGGGCGGATCACGAGTTCAGGAGTTCAAGAGCAGCCTGGCCAACATGGTGAAACCCCATTTCTGCTAAAAACACAAAAATTAGCCGGGTGTGGTGGCGGGCACCTGTAATCCCAGCTACTCGGGGGGCTGAGGCAGATAATTGCTTGAACCCGGGAGGTGGAGGTTGCAGTGAGCCGAGATCGTGCCACTGCACTCCAGCCTGGGCGACAGAGTGAGACTCTGTCTCAAAAAAAAAAAAACAGAAAACAAACAAACAAAAACTTTATTTACAAAAATTCAGCAGGGTAAACTTGACGTGTGGGCTGCCATTTGCAGATGCCCTCTTTTAGGTATACTCCCATCCATTCCATTGGTTTCCATTTTACTTTCTCATTTCTCAACCATGAACATGCCATTGTTTTCAGTTGCTCCATGTGTTGGCAAGTTCCCTAAACCCCAACGAATAGTAAGGCTCAGGATCATTTCGGCGAATACAGGTTGAGTTTCTGCTATAAAAACAAATTGAATGCTGAAACATGGATGAATGTGGGAGGAAAGAGCTACTTGGAAGAGTAACTCTCAAAGCTCTCTCTCAGAGCTCTCTCTCTGGGGAGAAAGAACAGTGGCGGAAACTCCTGGGTGAGGAATCCCTGATTCCCAAACAACTCCACCCCATGTCCCTGGCTGTCCTCCCCTCTGAGTAATGCAGACAGCCTTTTGGGGCTGTGATGATTCTATCTCCTATGAAGCCATCTGATGAAACTCTGATTTCACCAACCACTAGCACCCAGGAAGAGCCTGGTGTGACATAAGCTGAATGGAATAATTTTATGGGTTGAGGGGGGACTCTTTAGAAGCATCTAACTAGCATATTTTGGAGAAAAATTAGCTGAAGCATTAGGAAAGGAAACTATGCTGTATGCCAAGCCCCCACCCACAATTAATGGTATAAAAGGACTGCAGAGGAAGGAGAGACTCAAACCTGCCCACATCCACCTCCAGCAGCTTACCTGCTTTTCCATTACCTGTTCCAGCACCATGTCTTACAGTTGTTGCCTGCCCAGCCTGGGCTGCCGCACCAGCTGCTCCTCCCGGCCCTGCGTGCCCCCCAGCTGCCACGGCTACACCCTGCCTGGGGCCTGCAACATCCCCGCCAATGTGAGCAACTGCAACTGGTTCTGTGAGGGCTCCTTCAATGGCAGCGAGAAGGAGACTATGCAGTTCCTGAACGACCGCCTGGCCAGCTACCTGGAGAAGGTGCGTCAGCTGGAGCGGGACAACGCGGAGCTGGAGAAACTCATCCAGGAGCGGTCCCAGCAGCAGGAGCCCTTGCTGTGCCCCAGCTACCAGTCGTACTTCAAGACCATTGAGGAGCTCCAGCAGAAGGTGAGGGGGTTGGCCATATGGGGGGCCAGCAGCAGCTGGCTCTCTTTGAACAGTAAGACATTTTCAAGTTCAAGTGTACCTCATGAGAGAAATTTCTTTTCAGATTCTGTGTGCCAAGGCTGAGAATGCCAGGCTGGTGGTGAACATTGACAATGCCAAGCTGGCCTCTGACGACTTCAGAAGCAAGTATGTTGAACTTCAAGGTCCCTATGGTTCTTTCATGGCCCTAGGGACCTACTATTGCCTGGAAGAGAGGAGAAAGCCATTTCTCTCTATTTCTCCTCCTAGGGCTGGTTATGTAAAATTAGTTTCAAATAGGGAACTAGACTCATGTGCTGCCTGCTCTTTGGTCTATACTGGTTTTTTTTGGAAGTGTTTCTTAAACCACAAAATTCAGAGATTGAAATGAATTGTTCTTTGGGAATTGATTTGGTGGTATATTAGCTAACAAAACCGAGAACACAGTGAGAGACTTCATCTCATGTGTGCCTGTGGGCTCCTCGTGGTGTTAGGTGAGTCAGGGAACCTCTTCAGCCTATCCATGGACAGCTTGACTGAAGCATATGGAAGAGAAGAGGCAGAAAACTGTAAGTTCAAGAAGATTCAGGCCAATTCTACCCAAACAACACATGAGAGGGGAAGGTGGTTTTCTTTCCTGACTTATCCTCCCACTCCGACACGTGCAGGTACCAGACGGAGCAGTCCCTGAGGCTGTTGGTGGAGTCGGACATCAACAGCATACGCAGGATCCTGGATGAGCTGACCCTCTGCAAGTCTGACCTGGAGTCCCAGGTGGAGTCCCTGAGGGAGGAGCTGATCTGCTTGAAGAAGAACCATGAGGAGGTATGAAACAAATTCACAAAAGCAGGCCTCAGAACTAAGCTACTAGCACTGGGAATCAGGAGAGGATTACTGTCTGGATCCCTGGTCTGGGACCCTTCTCTGAGGAACTCAAGATGTTCTCAGAGAGTGACGGTGCTACATCCATATCAAGGAGTGGAGTGAGCTGCTCATTCTTCAGCGGCTGGGTGAGGGTTAGGCAGGTGTTGGAATTACTGAGGAGGGACATCATTCATTGAGCCCTGCTCTCTGCTGATCACTGCTAGGTCCTGAATTTGGTGGTGGAGATGGAGGGACAAAAAAGAAATAAGACATGGCCCTTTTCTTAAAAGAGCTCACAGTCTAGTATAGAAAGACAGTCATATAAACACAGTGATATAAACAAGACAGAGTGAAACAAGTACCATATGAGATGTACAAGCAGTATGCTCTAGAAATAATCCAGGCTGCCCAAGAGGAGATAGGGAACTCTTCTCAGATGCAAAGAGGAGGATTCCAGTACTTGGGTGTTTCAGTCTGAGGGAAGAGGTTGAACAAAGACACAGAAGTGGCAGGGCAGGGTGTATCTGGGTATGGCTGGGCATGCAGTACCTCCAAGGGATGAAAGTGAAGATGTGATGGGAAGCGAGGAAGGACTTGCATATGCCAAGGAGTTTAGACTTAGTCTTGTAGAAGGTGTGAGGTTGTTTCCGTTTCTATGGGACAACAATTGACGTGATCCCTGTTGGAGTTTATTGCTATAAAATGTGTGTGTCACTCTTTGGGAATGATCAGAATCTTCCTTTTAGTGCTTTTTTTTTTTTTGACGGAGTCATGCTCTGTCACCAGGCTGGAGTGCAGTGGCGTGATCTAGGCTCACTGTAACATCCGACTCCCTGGTTCAAGTGATTCACTTGCCTCAGCCTCCTGAGTAGCTGGGATTACAGGCACATGCCACCACGCCCAGCTAATTTTTGTATTGTTAGTAGAGATGGGGTTTCACCATGTTGGCTAGGATGGTTTCGATCTCCTGACTTCGTGATCCACCTGCCTCTGCCTCCCAAAGTGCTGGGATTACAGGCTTGAGCCACTGTGCCCGGCCCCTTTTAGTGCTTTCTGGGCAGCATCAAGCTCATTTTCCCAGAGCAGGAAGATGGCACATCTTCCATGGGACAGCAATTGATGTGATCCCTGTTGGAGTTTATTGCTATAAAATGTGTGTGTCACTCTTTGGGAATGATCAGAATATTCCTTTTAGTGCTTTTTGGGCAGTATTGTGCTCATTTCCCTGGAGCAGGAAAATGGCAGATCCATTGCCGTAGGTTCATTGTTTCCCTTTTCTCCAACAGGAGGTTAACACCCTGCGCTCCCAGCTTGGAGACCGCCTCAACGTGGAGGTGGACACTGCCCCCACTGTGGACCTGAACCAGGTCCTGAACGAGACCAGGAGTCAGTATGAGGCTCTGGTGGAAACTAACCGCAGGGAAGTGGAGCAATGGTTCGCCACGCAGGTGGGCATCTAAGCACATGGCCACTCAGGACCCGAGGTGCCCCAGGGCCCTGGAGACAGGGTCTGATCCTTTCCCCACTTGGGTGTTTCAGACCGAGGAGCTGAACAAGCAGGTGGTATCCAGCTCAGAGCAGCTGCAGTCCTGCCAGGCGGAGATCATCGAGCTGAGACGCACAGTCAACGCCCTGGAGATCGAGCTGCAGGCCCAGCACAACCTGGTGTGTATTGTTCAGACCTGCTGGTGAGCGATGGGAACTTGGGAGGCAGAGTCCCGGGGATGTGCTTGGGGCCACACACTCTCCTTAGCTCTTGGAGCTTGTGACTTCCTTGTAATCCTGTGAAGAAACCCTTTGAAGGAGCAGCTCTCTGACATTCCTGATCTTCCCCACCACAGCGAGACTCTCTGGAAAACACGCTGACGGAGAGCGAGGCCCACTACAGCTCCCAGCTGTCCCAGGTGCAGAGCCTGATCACCAACGTGGAGTCTCAGCTGGCAGAGATCCGCTGTGACCTGGAGCGGCAGAACCAGGAGTACCAGGTGCTGCTGGACGTGCGTGCCCGGCTGGAGTGTGAGATCAACACGTACCGGAGCCTCCTGGAGAGTGAGGACTGCAAGTGAGTATGGGGCAAATAATGTCTGGGAAGAATGTGTACAGTGGGATATTGTAGGCACACAAATGGTGGCCATGTTTTCAACTAGTCAGGCAACACACATTAACTGTGTAGCATGTGTCCAGTGATCTGTGATAGCTAAGCAAAGGGAGGCCAAAGGTAAGGGAACAGCCCCTATCTCAGGGGGCTAACAATGGAGGAGTGGTGGCAGGAGCTGGCCAGTTGTAGGAATAACATTTGTGTAAGGCACATTAAGTTCCAGGAGACCTCAAGAGTATGAGATAATATTTTTGAAAAGCACAATTTTTCCACCTCTGCACATGGCATTCTGGGAGAGAGAGAAGGGTTTGGTAGTAATCAGAACTTGATTCTGGCTGGGTGCAATGGCTCATGCCTATAATCCACTTTGGGAGGTTGAGGTGGGTGGATCACTTGAGGTCAGGAGTTCAAGACCAGCCTGGCCAACATGGTGAAACCCCATCGCTACCAAAAATACAAAAAATTAGCCAGGCATGGTGACGCATGCCTGTGATCCTAACTACTTGGGAGGCTGAGGCAGGAGAATCGCTTGAACCTGGGAGGCATAGTGAGCCTTGGCTCCCACTTGCAGTGAGCCAAGATCGCACCACTGCACTCCAGCCTAGGCAACAGAGCAAGACCCTGTCTCAAAAACAAAACAAAACAAAACAAAAAGAACTTGATTCCAACTAACTCCAGCCACTGAGAATTCATAGGTTGTGTCATTAAGCCCAAGGTATTGTGTGCATTAAAACCTCCTCCTAAAGCCATTCTAAACCTCCTTGTCCTCCTAGGCTCCCCTGCAACCCATGCGCCACCACCAATGCTAGTGGCAACTCCTGTGGACCCTGTGGCACCTCTCAAAAGGGTTGCTGTAATTGAAAAGCTTGTATCCTCTTTGAAGACATCTACAAAGCCATTTAGATCAACCACAGGAAGGATCCTCAAGTCCTGACTTTTCTGGAGCTCAGCTGACATCAAGAAACCTCATCTTGCCTCTATGTTATTTCTAGAATGCTGAAAAGCTTTCCTGACCCAAGCAAAGACACACATCATCAACTTCCAATGTCTGGACAACTCCTTCCTGTTGAGGGTCGAGCCTGTTTGTTTCTAAAGATGTTCAGCTCCCTGTAATCTGAGCTCCAGTTACTACTTAAGGTGTTTCCTGAACGTACTACTGCATTTCCTGTTTTCCTTTTTTCTTTGGCATTCTCTGGAATGCAAGGAGGAGACTTCATTTACTTCCCAATAAACTTCATTTCTCTGGCATAATAAATGTTTCTCATTCATATTCATGCATTGTAAATTACTCATCATGGCTGTTTCATAAAAATACCCCTTCATTAGGAGAATAAAATGAAGTAAATGACTGAGCCAAGCCTTTATGCTTCACCAGAAACACTGATGTAGACAGGGAAGGACGTCCTTCTGGGAGACTCCCACCCAGGGTAGGCCATGCAGGAAACCTGGCCTTCAATACCCATGCTTACCTTGCCTTGACTACAGGGCCCTTGGCAATTTTGCAAAGCCTCCCCAGACTTCACTGCTATCTCCAGCTCTCACCCTCATCAGAATAGAATGTTCTGCTTCCCTTTCTCCTAAACTGCCTGAAGAAACTACAGAAACTGCTTCTACAGAAACTGTTCAAAGAGCAGTGATTCTCTCCTCTCAACCTCTCTGCTGCTGCTGCCTTGCTGATATAGATACCTACTCCTCCCTTAAAATACACCTTCATTGATTTCCATAACCCTGCACACTCTGGGTCTTCTTGTAATATCTCTAATTACCTGTTCTCTGTTGTCTTGTTAGCTGTCTTCCCCTTTTTGTCCCAAATGAAGGAAACACCTATATTCTTAGCCCTCTGTCTTTCTCTTTCTACGTCCCTGTTCGTGTAGATCTAGCTCCTCTATGCTGATGACTGCCACATCTCCCTCTCATCTCAGCTCAGTTTCCAGGTTTTCTGTTGCGCATATGACAGCTTCACTTGGTATCAGGTCATTACATCATGTTTAATTGGACTAAAACGTATTTTTCCCAAACTGGTTCATCTTGCCGCCCACTTGTTATGCCTGACATGTTGTCCTCCAGATAGACCCTTTAAATGCAGTCCTTACCTTTCCCCTCTTCAAGTTTATTCTTTCCCCTAGATCTTTGGTCTTATCCATAATGTTCTTCCATAGCCTCTTTATCATTTCATTTTCTATAATTCCAAGAAAGGCCAATGTTCATTAAACATCTCCCCCAAAACATTAATCTTACCCCACACCCCACCCCACTTGCCTCATCCCTGAATTTTTAAAGCTTTCAATTTTATAGGCCAGTCTCAATTATCCATTTTATTTAATCCTATCTGATTGACACAACTGCAATCAATCATCTATAGTGTGTGCTGGGTACTGTGGGCGGTACTGAGAAACACAAATAAGTGAATCCCAGTCTCGGCCCACAGCATGTTTTACAGTTTAGAGTGGATGAGACAAAGCTACAGTCATCATAGACAAATATCAGTGTGGCTCAAGAAAGGTGCAGATAAAGAATTACGAATTTCAGATGTGTGAGAGAATGAAAAGAAGAGGCTCCAAGAAGGAGGGAGCACTCAATCAAAGCCTTGAAAACCCAAATGTTCTGTTGATATAAATTTTGTCTGCCTGTCTTGTTGACTGCAGGCCCTTCAGCAGAGGCAATATCATCACCTAATTAAAGACGATGTAAACCATGGAATACTGTAAGTGGAATAAATAAGGAAGAGTAACACTAATGAAAATTCATGAGAAGGTTATTAAAACTTTATATACTTCCCATAGTTTCAACTTCAATCAATGATTACTGTATGATATTAGCATAATTCTGAAATAAAGTTTGCTGGGAAATGTCTGGTCAGGTGAGTGTGTTTAGGCCATAGAAGAGGGAAAGTTTTGGCCAGGTGCAGTGGCTCACGCCTGTAATCCCAGCACTTTGGGAGGCTGAGGCAGGTGGATCACGAGGTCAGGAGATTGAGACCATCCTGGCTAACACGGTGAAACCCCATCTGTACTGAAAATACAAAAAAAAAAAAAAAAATTAGCCAGGCATGGTGGCACACACCTGTAGTCCCAGCTACTCAGGAGGCTGAGGCAGGGGAATAGCTTGAACCCAGGAGGCGGAGGTTGCAGTGAGCCAAGATCGTGCCACTGCACTCCAGCCTGGATGATAGAGTGAGACTCTGTCTCAAAAAAAAAAAAACAGAAAACAAACAAACAAAAACTTTATTTACAAAAATTCAGCAGGGTAAACTTGACGTGTGGGCTGCCATTTGCAGATGCCCTCTTTTAGGTATACTCCCATCCATTCCATTGGTTTCCATTTTACTTTCTCATTTCTCAACCATGAACATGCCATTGTTTTCAGTTGCTCCATGTGTTGGCAAGTTCCCTAAACCCCAACGAATAGTAAGGCTCAGGATCATTTCGGCGAATACAGGTTGAGTTTCTGCTATAAAAACAAATTGAATGCTGAAACATGGATGAATGTGGGAGGAAAGAGCTACTTGGAAGAGTAACTCTCAAAGCTCTCTCTCAGAGCTCTCTCTCTGGGGAGAAAGAACAGTGGCGGAAACTCCTGGGTGAGGAATCCCTGATTCCCAAACAACTCCACCCCATGTCCCTGGCTGTCCTCCCCTCTGAGTAATGCAGACAGCCTTTTGGGGCTGTGATGATTCTATCTCCTATGAAGCCATCTGATGAAACTCTGATTTCACCAACCACTAGCACCCAGGAAGAGCCTGGTGTGACATAAGCTGAATGGAATAATTTTATGGGTTGAGGGGGGACTCTTTAGAAGCATCTAACTAGCATATTTTGGAGAAAAATTAGCTGAAGCATTAGGAAAGGAAACTATGCTGTATGCCAAGCCCCCACCCACAATTAATGGTATAAAAGGACTGCAGAGGAAGGAGAGACTCAAACCTGCCCACATCCACCTCCAGCAGCTTACCTGCTTTTCCATTACCTGTTCCAGCACCATGTCTTACAGTTGTTGCCTGCCCAGCCTGGGCTGCCGCACCAGCTGCTCCTCCCGGCCCTGCGTGCCCCCCAGCTGCCACGGCTACACCCTGCCTGGGGCCTGCAACATCCCCGCCAATGTGAGCAACTGCAACTGGTTCTGTGAGGGCTCCTTCAATGGCAGCGAGAAGGAGACTATGCAGTTCCTGAACGACCGCCTGGCCAGCTACCTGGAGAAGGTGCGTCAGCTGGAGCGGGACAACGCGGAGCTGGAGAAACTCATCCAGGAGCGGTCCCAGCAGCAGGAGCCCTTGCTGTGCCCCAGCTACCAGTCGTACTTCAAGACCATTGAGGAGCTCCAGCAGAAGGTGAGGGGGTTGGCCATATGGGGGGCCAGCAGCAGCTGGCTCTCTTTGAACAGTAAGACATTTTCAAGTTCAAGTGTACCTCATGAGAGAAATTTCTTTTCAGATTCTGTGTGCCAAGGCTGAGAATGCCAGGCTGGTGGTGAACATTGACAATGCCAAGCTGGCCTCTGACGACTTCAGAAGCAAGTATGTTGAACTTCAAGGTCCCTATGGTTCTTTCATGGCCCTAGGGACCTACTATTGCCTGGAAGAGAGGAGAAAGCCATTTCTCTCTATTTCTCCTCCTAGGGCTGGTTATGTAAAATTAGTTTCAAATAGGGAACTAGACTCATGTGCTGCCTGCTCTTTGGTCTATACTGGTTTTTTTTGGAAGTGTTTCTTAAACCACAAAATTCAGAGATTGAAATGAATTGTTCTTTGGGAATTGATTTGGTGGTATATTAGCTAACAAAACCGAGAACACAGTGAGAGACTTCATCTCATGTGTGCCTGTGGGCTCCTCGTGGTGTTAGGTGAGTCAGGGAACCTCTTCAGCCTATCCATGGACAGCTTGACTGAAGCATATGGAAGAGAAGAGGCAGAAAACTGTAAGTTCAAGAAGATTCAGGCCAATTCTACCCAAACAACACATGAGAGGGGAAGGTGGTTTTCTTTCCTGACTTATCCTCCCACTCCGACACGTGCAGGTACCAGACGGAGCAGTCCCTGAGGCTGTTGGTGGAGTCGGACATCAACAGCATACGCAGGATCCTGGATGAGCTGACCCTCTGCAAGTCTGACCTGGAGTCCCAGGTGGAGTCCCTGAGGGAGGAGCTGATCTGCTTGAAGAAGAACCATGAGGAGGTATGAAACAAATTCACAAAAGCAGGCCTCAGAACTAAGCTACTAGCACTGGGAATCAGGAGAGGATTACTGTCTGGATCCCTGGTCTGGGACCCTTCTCTGAGGAACTCAAGATGTTCTCAGAGAGTGACGGTGCTACATCCATATCAAGGAGTGGAGTGAGCTGCTCATTCTTCAGCGGCTGGGTGAGGGTTAGGCAGGTGTTGGAATTACTGAGGAGGGACATCATTCATTGAGCCCTGCTCTCTGCTGATCACTGCTAGGTCCTGAATTTGGTGGTGGAGATGGAGGGACAAAAAAGAAATAAGACATGGCCCTTTTCTTAAAAGAGCTCACAGTCTAGTATAGAAAGACAGTCATATAAACACAGTGATATAAACAAGACAGAGTGAAACAAGTACCATATGAGATGTACAAGCAGTATGCTCTAGAAATAATCCAGGCTGCCCAAGAGGAGATAGGGAACTCTTCTCAGATGCAAAGAGGAGGATTCCAGTACTTGGGTGTTTCAGTCTGAGGGAAGAGGTTGAACAAAGACACAGAAGTGGCAGGGCAGGGTGTATCTGGGTATGGCTGGGCATGCAGTACCTCCAAGGGATGAAAGTGAAGATGTGATGGGAAGCGAGGAAGGACTTGCATATGCCAAGGAGTTTAGACTTAGTCTTGTAGAAGGTGTGAGGTTGTTTCCGTTTCTATGGGACAACAATTGACGTGATCCCTGTTGGAGTTTATTGCTATAAAATGTGTGTGTCACTCTTTGGGAATGATCAGAATCTTCCTTTTAGTGCTTTTTTTTTTTTTGACGGAGTCATGCTCTGTCACCAGGCTGGAGTGCAGTGGCGTGATCTAGGCTCACTGTAACATCCGACTCCCTGGTTCAAGTGATTCACTTGCCTCAGCCTCCTGAGTAGCTGGGATTACAGGCACATGCCACCACGCCCAGCTAATTTTTGTATTGTTAGTAGAGATGGGGTTTCACCATGTTGGCTAGGATGGTTTCGATCTCCTGACTTCGTGATCCACCTGCCTCTGCCTCCCAAAGTGCTGGGATTACAGGCTTGAGCCACTGTGCCCGGCCCCTTTTAGTGCTTTCTGGGCAGCATCAAGCTCATTTTCCCAGAGCAGGAAGATGGCACATCTTCCATGGGACAGCAATTGATGTGATCCCTGTTGGAGTTTATTGCTATAAAATGTGTGTGTCACTCTTTGGGAATGATCAGAATATTCCTTTTAGTGCTTTTTGGGCAGTATTGTGCTCATTTCCCTGGAGCAGGAAAATGGCAGATCCATTGCCGTAGGTTCATTGTTTCCCTTTTCTCCAACAGGAGGTTAACACCCTGCGCTCCCAGCTTGGAGACCGCCTCAACGTGGAGGTGGACACTGCCCCCACTGTGGACCTGAACCAGGTCCTGAACGAGACCAGGAGTCAGTATGAGGCTCTGGTGGAAACTAACCGCAGGGAAGTGGAGCAATGGTTCGCCACGCAGGTGGGCATCTAAGCACATGGCCACTCAGGACCCGAGGTGCCCCAGGGCCCTGGAGACAGGGTCTGATCCTTTCCCCACTTGGGTGTTTCAGACCGAGGAGCTGAACAAGCAGGTGGTATCCAGCTCAGAGCAGCTGCAGTCCTGCCAGGCGGAGATCATCGAGCTGAGACGCACAGTCAACGCCCTGGAGATCGAGCTGCAGGCCCAGCACAACCTGGTGTGTATTGTTCAGACCTGCTGGTGAGCGATGGGAACTTGGGAGGCAGAGTCCCGGGGATGTGCTTGGGGCCACACACTCTCCTTAGCTCTTGGAGCTTGTGACTTCCTTGTAATCCTGTGAAGAAACCCTTTGAAGGAGCAGCTCTCTGACATTCCTGATCTTCCCCACCACAGCGAGACTCTCTGGAAAACACGCTGACGGAGAGCGAGGCCCGCTACAGCTCCCAGCTGTCCCAGGTGCAGAGCCTGATCACCAACGTGGAGTCTCAGCTGGCAGAGATCCGCTGTGACCTGGAGCGGCAGAACCAGGAGTACCAGGTGCTGCTGGACGTGCGTGCCCGGCTGGAGTGTGAGATCAACACGTACCGGAGCCTCCTGGAGAGTGAGGACTGCAAGTGAGTATGGGGCAAATAATGTCTGGGAAGAATGTGTACAGTGGGATATTGTAGGCACACAAATGGTGGCCATGTTTTCAACTAGTCAGGCAACACACATTAACTGTGTAGCATGTGTCCAGTGATCTGTGATAGCTAAGCAAAGGGAGGCCAAAGGTAAGGGAACAGCCCCTATCTCAGGGGGCTAACAATGGAGGAGTGGTGGCAGGAGCTGGCCAGTTGTAGGAATAACATTTGTGTAAGGCACATTAAGTTCCAGGAGACCTCAAGAGTATGAGATAATATTTTTGAAAAGCACAATTTTTCCACCTCTGCACATGGCATTCTGGGAGAGAGAGAAGGGTTTGGTAGTAATCAGAACTTGATTCTGGCTGGGTGCAATGGCTCATGCCTATAATCCACTTTGGGAGGTTGAGGTGGGTGGATAACTTGAGGTCAGGAGTTCAAGACCAGCCTGGCCAACATGGTGAAACCCCATCGCTACCAAAAATACAAAAAATTAGCCAGGCATGGTGACGCATGCCTGTGATCCTAACTACTTGGGAGGCTGAGGCAGGAGAATCGCTTGAACCTGGGAGGCATAGTGAGCCTTGGCTCCCACTTGCAGTGAGCCAAGATCGCACCACTGCACTCCAGCCTAGGCAACAGAGCAAGACCCTGTCTCAAAAACAAAACAAAACAAAACAAAAAGAACTTGATTCCAACTAACTCCAGCCACTGAGAATTCATAGGTTGTGTCATTAAGCCCAAGGTATTGTGTGCATTAAAACCTCCTCCTAAAGCCATTCTAAACCTCCTTGTCCTCCTAGGCTCCCCTGCAACCCATGCGCCACCACCAATGCTAGTGGCAACTCCTGTGGACCCTGTGGCACCTCTCAAAAGGGTTGCTGTAATTGAAAAGCTTGTATCCTCTTTGAAGACATCTACAAAGCCATTTAGATCAACCACAGGAAGGATCCTCAAGTCCTGACTTTTCTGGAGCTCAGCTGACATCAAGAAACCTCATCTTGCCTCTATGTTATTTCTAGAATGCTGAAAAGCTTTCCTGACCCAAGCAAAGACACACATCATCAACTTCCAATGTCTGGACAACTCCTTCCTGTTGAGGGTCGAGCCTGTTTGTTTCTAAAGATGTTCAGCTCCCTGTAATCTGAGCTCCAGTTACTACTTAAGGTGTTTCCTGAACGTACTACTGCATTTCCTGTTTTCCTTTTTTCTTTGGCATTCTCTGGAATGCAAGGAGGAGACTTCATTTACTTCCCAATAAACTTCATTTCTCTGGCATAATAAATGTTTCTCATTCATATTCATGCATTGTAAATTACTCATCATGGCTGTTTCATAAAAATACCCCTTCATTAGGAGAATAAAATGAAGTAAATGACTGAGCCAAGCCTTTATGCTTCACCAGAAACACTGATGTAGACAGGGAAGGACGTCCTTCTGGGAGACTCCCACCCAGGGTAGGCCATGCAGGAAACCTGGCCTTCAATACCCATGCTTACCTTGCCTTGACTACAGGGCCCTTGGCAATTTTGCAAAGCCTCCCCAGACTTCACTGCTATCTCCAGCTCTCACCCTCATCAGAATAGAATGTTCTGCTTCCCTTTCTCCTAAACTGCCTGAAGAAACTACAGAAACTGCTTCTACAGAAACTGTTCAAAGAGCAGTGATTCTCTCCTCTCAACCTCTCTGCTGCTGCTGCCTTGCTGATATAGATACCTACTCCTCCCTTAAAATACACCTTCATTGATTTCCATAACCCTGCACACTCTGGGTCTTCTTGTAATATCTCTAATTACCTGTTCTCTGTTGTCTTGTTAGCTGTCTTCCCCTTTTTGTCCCAAATGAAGGAAACACCTATATTCTTAGCCCTCTGTCTTTCTCTTTCTACGTCCCTGTTCGTGTAGATCTAGCTCCTCTATGCTGATGACTGCCACATCTCCCTCTCATCTCAGCTCAGTTTCCAGGTTTTCTGTTGCGCATATGACAGCTTCACTTGGTATCAGGTCATTACATCATGTTTAATTGGACTAAAACGTATTTTTCCCAAACTGGTTCATCTTGCCGCCCACTTGTTATGCCTGACATGTTGTCCTCCAGATAGACCCTTTAAATGCAGTCCTTACCTTTCCCCTCTTCAAGTTTATTCTTTCCCCTAGATCTTTGGTCTTATCCATAATGTTCTTCCATAGCCTCTTTATCATTTCATTTTCTATAATTCCAAGAAAGGCCAATGTTCATTAAACATCTCCCCCAAAACATTAATCTTACCCCACACCCCACCCCACTTGCCTCATCCCTGAATTTTTAAAGCTTTCAATTTTATAGGCCAGTCTCAATTATCCATTTTATTTAATCCTATCTGATTGACACAACTGCAATCAATCATCTATAGTGTGTGCTGGGTACTGTGGGCGGTACTGAGAAACACAAATAAGTGAATCCCAGTCTCGGCCCACAGCATGTTTTACAGTTTAGAGTGGATGAGACAAAGCTACAGTCATCATAGACAAATATCAGTGTGGCTCAAGAAAGGTGCAGATAAAGAATTACGAATTTCAGATGTGTGAGAGAATGAAAAGAAGAGGCTCCAAGAAGGAGGGAGCACTCAATCAAAGCCTTGAAAACCCAAATGTTCTGTTGATATAAATTTTGTCTGCCTGTCTTGTTGACTGCAGGCCCTTCAGCAGAGGCAATATCATCACCTAATTAAAGACGATGTAAACCATGGAATACTGTAAGTGGAATAAATAAGGAAGAGTAACACTAATGAAAATTCATGAGAAGGTTATTAAAACTTTATATACTTCCCATAGTTTCAACTTCAATCAATGATTACTGTATGATATTAGCATAATTCTGAAATAAAGTTTGCTGGGAAATGTCTGGTCAGGTGAGTGTGTTTAGGCCATAGAAGAGGGAAAGTTTTGGCCAGGTGCAGTGGCTCACGCCTGTAATCCCAGCACTTTGGGAGGCTGAGGCAGGTGGATCACGAGGTCAGGAGATTGAGACCATCCTGGCTAACACGGTGAAACCCCATCTGTACTGAAAATACAAAAAAAAAAAAAAAAAATTAGCCAGGCATGGTGGCACACACCTGTAGTCCCAGCTACTCAGGAGGCTGAGGCAGGGGAATAGCTTGAACCCAGGAGGCGGAGGTTGCAGTGAGCCAAGATCGTGCCACTGCACTCCAGCCTGGATGATAGAGTGAGACTCTGTCTCAAAAAAAAAAAAGAAGAGGGAAAGTTTTCCTGAGCATGAACTTTGCCTGGAGGAGTTATGAGGTGTGTTTAGAAATTGACAACCCAATCCCTAGCCTAGAACAGAGGGTAAGTGTGGTTATAGGAGATGAAACTGCAAGGTAGTTAGGTACGGCCATATTTGGAAGTGCTCCGAATGATTATACATGAGATTTTCTTGTAAGGGAGTTTGCCATATGATATATCTGGCAGCTGTGTACAGGTTGGGTTGTGAGGAGTCCTAGAAGCTGGATGAAATAGAAGGAAGATCAATTAAGAGGTGAGAGACAATAAGGACTGAGATAAGTGGAGGAGAGTGAGGCCAAAGAGGGGTAGGTTTTAGAGGCATGGCTTAAATATGGAAGCTGAGTAGAGATAGAGGAACAATGGAAAGAAAAGGAAGGAAACTAGTACTGATCACACACTGTATTAGGGTTATCCAGAGAAACAGAAACAGTAGGCTATGTATAGATACATAGAAAGAGATTTATTATAAGGAATTAGCTTATATGATTATGGAGGCTGAGAAGTTTCATAATCTGCTGTCTTCAAGGTGGAGGCCCAGGAAAGCCAGTGGTATAATTCCAATCCAAACCCAAAGGACTGAGAATCAGGAAGGCTGGTGGTGTAAGTCCTGGTTTGAGACTGAAGGCTCAAGAACTGGGAGCATTGATGTTAGAGGGCAGGAGAAGATGGATGTCCCAGCTCAACTCTATTCCCATTGGGAGTGCAGGACTGAGTGTAAGAGAAACAGTGATGGCTCTGGAGAGGGTTTGTGGAACTAGATCCCGAGTTCCGTTTTGAGGTGTCCGTGTCTGTCTTTGCTCAGCATAGCTTACTACTGACCTGGCCTATTCTCCAGACCCTCTCCTGCTTCTCCCTTACCGGTCAATGAGAGAAATAATTTGCCTTTCTTCTACTTTTTGGTTCTATTTGACTACCCACATTGGAGGACACCTGCCCACATTGGTGAGGGTGATCTTTACTCACTCTCCTGATTCAAATGCTGATCTCTTTTAGAAACACCTTTACACACATACCCAGAAATAATGTTTTACCAGCTATCTGGGCATCCCTTGGCCCAGTCAAGTTGATACATTAAATTAACCATCACAAACACCTACTATGGGTCTGAAGATTTTCAGCCTGAGAAAATGAAACAACAATGAGTTTCCATTGGAGAGACCTGGAGAAGAATAACTAGATTTGAGGGAGATGTCGGAGAGCTGGGTAAATAAAGATGATAATTAGAGCTATAGGAATTGTTAAGACTGTCCAATGGAGGCTAGCAGGGAATAGAAGAACCTTGAGGACCACTGATAGAAACCACAGACTTCAGCTGGGGCTCTCCAGAGTCCCTGATGTGAGGTTCAGCCTTGGTTTTGCCAGATCTTGAGGACAGAGATGACATCTGGTTGCAAGCAGTTTGAGAGGGAAGTGGAGAAGCACCTTAAAGGACACAGAAGTCAAAAGAAGTTGGAGCTCTAATGAAAGAGTTGTCAACAGCATCCAGGGCAAGGATGGTGAGAATCAGACAAATCTACTGGTTAAAGCAATGGGGAGACTCCTGGTGATTATAAAGAGAACAGAGTCTGTGGGAGGCTGAGGGAAGAAGCTGTATTTCCATGTTTTTTTCATGTCTGTCTCAAATCACCAACGTGATAGTGAGTGTAATGCAAAAGTTCAACACAACACATTTGTACTCAGCTGACTTTGCTTTATCTTCTGTGTACTGTCAAAAGGTTTTAGCATCTGCCCTCTCCCTTGATCTGCAGAGCAGGACACATATATAGGTTTTCATTCCATCTCTGAGTGGGCCCTGGATCCAGCTTTTTCAGGAAGACTAGCACCATTAAATTACATCGTCCTGGATTGTGTCATGCTCTTGTCTATTCTAGACTGAGCTGATAGTCTAGAGTAGTCAAAAACATAGCATAGATCTCGTGGGAGCTGAATGATGAGAACACGTGGACATATAGAGGGGAACAACACACACTGGAGCCTTCTGGAGGGTAGAGGGTGGGAGGAGGGAGAGGATCAGGAAAAATAACTAATGGGTACTAGGCTTAATACCTGGGTGATGAAATAATCTGTAAAACAAACTCCCATGACACAAGTTTATCTATGTAACAAACCTGCACTTGTATCCCTCAACTTAAAATAAAAGTTAAAAAAAAACACATAGCATAGATGAACTTTGTATTTTTCTGACTTGGCTTGGTCCCTGAAGACTCCAAGACTCCATTCCCATTGGGAGTCCAAGACTGAGTGTAAGAGAAACATGGTGGCTCTGGAGAGGATTTGTAGAACTACCTCCTGAGTTCCATTTTGAGGTGTTTGTATCTGTTTTTGCTCAGCGTAGCTTACTGCTGACCTGGCTCATTCTTCAGCCCCTCTCCTGCTTGTCCCTTATCAGAAGCCCCATTGAACAGGGCCAAACTTGTTGGCTTATTTCCTGAATTACCCCTTCAATTTCTCCTCTCAATGTCCTGAGGCTGGAGGATTGATAAATTGACAACAGTTGCCTTTATGGAACAGTTTGTGGAAGCCCTATCTTCTGCTCTTCTAGGAAGCTCTAACAGGCTGGCCCAAAACCATGGGCTGGGGTTGTTATTGGACAGTCTTTCTGCTTTTCTAATTCCCCTCTGGGATCCCTCTTTGGCAAAAAGTCCATCTTCTTGCTCTGTGTGCATGTAGTGATACTGCTCCTGGCCTCTCCTTCTCATTTGTACATATTAAAATATAATTAATTTTCAAGTAGCCCAATGTAACTTCGTATTTCTAAAAGAATAAATTTTACATTTCTCACGGTGACAATTTCAAGCACCAGAGCCTGGACATTGGAGAAGATGGCTTTGGGAAGAAGGAGGGAGGCCTCCTAATGCCTTTGAAGTCCCACAATGAGGAAGGTGGCCTCAGCAGAAGCCCCATCCTATGTCCACTCCGTGGTTAAGCATCGCTGGTGGGTTGGCATGTGATCTCTTCTATGGAAATAGCCCGGGCTTCCATAATAAATAGCATCCTTAAACCTCAACTGCAATTTGCTCACATCTTAAGACCAGAAGCCTCAACCATAGCATCTGCCGCTATTACATGGGCATGTATAAAACCTTTCGGTTTGTTAGGATTTGACTTACTTGTCATGTTTAATGAAGGGCCATTGAACAGAGACAATAGCATCACCCATGTAAAGATAAGAATTCACAGTACACAGCAAGTGGAGTAAGTAAAAAGCAATTGCCTTCCAGACTTTGTGAGAAGCTAATTGAAACTTGGCTCTTTTCTCCATAGACCCAAGTTCTTCCAACTATTAGTACATAATGGCCAAGTAGCTGTGCAGAAATTATAGTTACTTCTACTCAAGATGTGGGAATAGTTGTGTTTTCTAAACTCTGACCTCCACTTTTAAAGACACAAGGATACTTATCTCTGGATTATTCCACTGTGACTGAGGTAGAAGCTACAGCAATGGTTATAGGGATCCCTGTGGACATATTTACCAGTCTGTGACACACTATTCCTTCCCTTTTCTTTAAAAAGTGCCATTGTCAGATTTTTCCTTTTGAAGCTTGGGACGTAGAAGAAGGAGAGAAGAACACAAGGTAATTAGAGAAAAGCTAATGAATTCAGCTATTTGCTTTATGTTATTTGATCTCATCCAATAGGACTTTAATGGTTTGGTACTGATTTTAAACCAATATGCCCATGCCACATCTCACTGATAGTGGAATCATTTTAAAGGTAGAGATTCAGGCCGGGTGCAGTGGCTCACTCCTGTAATCCCAGCACTTTGGGAGGCTGAGGCGGGTGGATCACCTGAGGTCAGGAGATTGAGACCAGCCTGCCCAACATAGTGAAACCCTGTCTCTACTAAAAATACAAAAATTAGCCAGGCACATTACAGGTGGTGCACGCCTCTAATCCCAGCTACTAGGGAGGGTGAGACAGGAGAATAGCTTGAACCTGGGAGGCGGAGGTTGCAGTGAGCTGAGATTGCACCACTGCACTGTAGCCTGGGCAATAGAGCAATAGAGTGAGACTCTGTCTCCAAAAAAAAAAAAAAAAAAAAAAAATTAGAGATTCAGGCAGGAGGGGCGGAAAGTTGTGGATTGTGATTGTAGGGGAGGATATCAGTACCTTCAATGCATTCACCCTGGAAGACCACATGTTTGCCCCAAAGCTGCTGTCCTTTATAAAAGCATATTTGAAGCTTCTCCTTGGAAATGACTTCCAGAGTCACCCAAGAAAACACACATTATTATTTTGTAGTCACAACCTGTTTCTGACCCATTAAAGATGCTATGCAGCTTGGTTATTCACCCTATGCACTAGGTGTGGTTTCAAATGACTTCTGGCTGGTTCCAAAAATAAACACACCCATAGAAGATGAAGATTGGCCTTCAATGAGGATAACCAAAAGAATGTGTCCCAAGCTGTGAAGGCAAGTTTGAAGGAAGGGTGATCTGAGGAATGGCAGGTCACCTGTAGGAAAAGAATTCTTGTATGGCAAGACTTAATATGTAGCTTCCAAAAGGAACAACTTGGAGGAGTATCTTTCAGAATTTGAGCACTGATAGATTAAACATAAAATCCTCATATTTCATAGTTCCATCTGGAATGCATGAGAGTAGAGCATCTGCTTGCCAAAATGTGCCAATGGTCATAAAATGCCACTTCATGCACATGACATAGTGGTGGATTTTCAGGGTCATATCCTTTGGAGAGCTAGGCTTGGGTATTTCTCCCTCAGATCAACCAAGGGTTTCCTTTTTTTTTTTTTTCAAGCTTCTAGTGGGTATAAGGCATTTTCACTTAGTAAACTTCCTTCCTTCAGCATAGAAGTGACTTTTGGTTCTTTAATAAGTAAAAAACAGGCTTGTTATTTTTTGGCCCATTCTAATTTAGGATATTGTCAGCACTGATTGAGCTCAATGGAGCTCAATCTGTATTTTTTGCATTATTGCATCTCAGTACTGAAAAGATTGGAAGAGAGAGACATGTAATATGACAGAGTGTGGACATTGGAATTAGAGAGATCTGTATTTGAACCCTGGCTCCATCATGTAGGAGCTCTGTGACCTTGGGAGACCTCTCAGAGGCTTAGGGTCCTTATCTACAAACCCTTGCAGCATTTTGAGAGGACTGAAGGAGCTGGTGCATATGAGGTGCCTGGCACTGTGCCTGGTGCACAGTGGAGGCTCAGCAAGCAGGACCCATCACCAATGACAGAGTCACGCTGTGCACAGGCATGGAGCACAGTGCTTCATGCAGAGTAGGTGCTCCCAAAATTTAGGTTTCTTAATGTTCTGTGAACACTGAATACTAGTAGAAACGGAGGTGGGTGGCTTCCTGCAGCCCCATAGGAAGAGGGTAGAGTTGCCTCCATCTGCCTGGATGGAACTGCAAATGGGCCTTGAACCAATGGCCTTGTAAGTCCTTTCTCATTTCAGCTTCCAGGATTCCCTATCACATAGTCTAGTTTCTAGACGGGTTTCCTTACATGGCTTTTCTCACAGAGTCTTAATTGAATATGAACTGGATGAGACACAAGCCTTTCCTCATTTAGGAGAAAGAGGCACATATGTGCCCCCTACTCTGGGGACAGGGCCCAGCTGTCACTCTAGCTCAATGTCCCATGGATAAGCACTGCTACAGGCAAGGTTGGTCACTTTGAAGCCAAACCATGAAGCTCTTACTTAACCAATCAGCATGTTTTGTGAGGAGTCCTGACTTAGCAAGAAGCCAGAGTAAAACATTTAATGAGGTATAGGACTCAGGTGAAGTGGCTAAATAACAAATGGAAAAATCAGCAAAGGAGGTAAAAAGGAGGAATACTTGACATGGTTGCCACACCCACTGCTAACAGAATATAAAGCCCTGGAAAGGACCAAGGCTTATCCCAGGGAAAAGGAATCAGGTTTTGAAACTGACTTCCAGAGCTCCACTGCCTCCCTGCACCATGCCCTACAACTTCTGCCTGCCCAGCCTGAGCTGCCGCACCAGCTGCTCCTCCCGGCCCTGTGTGCCCCCCAGCTGCCACGGCTACACCCTGCCCGGGGCCTGCAACATCCCTGCCAATGTGAGCAACTGCAACTGGTTCTGCGAGGGCTCCTTCAATGGCAGCGAGAAGGAGACTATGCAGTTCCTGAACGACCGCCTGGCCAGCTACCTGGAGAAGGTGCGTCAGCTGGAGCGGGACAACGCGGAGCTGGAGAACCTCATCCGGGAGCGGTCTCAGCAGCAGGAGCCCTTGCTGTGCCCCAGCTACCAGTCCTACTTCAAGACCATTGAGGAGCTCCAGCAGAAGGTGAGGAGGTGGGCACCACACTGCCAGCTTAATGAACTACTTATCTATATTTGACATACTAAACTGTGAATGGATCTAAGTCTGTTCACAGTAATGCTGAGAATGATAAAGACATAGATTCACTGGCTTAGGTATGACATCAAGTAGTCTTAGAAAATCTGTTGTAGAGCCACAAAGGAAGGATGCAGGCTGGTGTTAGAGTGAAGCATTAGACCAAAATCAGTCATAGCAATCTTATATGGCGTCTTACTCCAAACCAGAATATCTGATTTTTTGGTTTGATTATGATACCCTGGTTTTGTTTTCAGAGCATTACCGCATTTTCAAAAAGTATGCACCTGAATTATTTTCTATGCTAAGAATTTCCTAAGTAAATCTTCAAATATTTAAAGCCTTTCAAAGCTGTAGCAAAATATAGCATTTATGGCAACACAAGAGAGCTGTTGACTCCAGCAATATCTACAGACACATGGACCATCCTCTAGAGCAGCCATGTGTACAGATGACAATATGGGGCCATCTGTTCTGGAAGAGAAGTAGATATAAGTAAAGAGTCCACAGAGAATTGGGACTGAATACCTGGTGTAGGTTTGGGAGGGATCCCAGAAGAGGCAATGTCTGAGTGGGGTTTGAAGGATGAGTGGGAGTTTATATCCAATTGTACAAGCCCTTGATTCTGGGAGGGAATTGACTGCCCACTGTTCTGTAGATCTGGAAAATTAGATGCCAGAAAGGGGTTGTGCTATTTGAATATCATTCATTTATTTACCCAGAGTTGGAGAGTGTTAGGCACAGTGCTGGGGTGGGGGATAATGTACTGAGTAAGACAGTCTCCTTCCTTCAGGAGCTCACAGTCTAACAGGGGAGATAGATGTGGAAACAAAATGATCACACAAAGGTCATAAGAAGTGTTATTGATTAAGTATGTGGGTTACACAAGGGGTCTTGCTAGTGGGTGAGGGCATTCTGGGTACAGCAAGAAGCTTTTTGCAAAGGCATGAACAAGGGCAATATGAGGGGAGAGTGGAGAGAAGTTAGCAGGTGGAATGTGTTGGATAACCAAGTTGTTCTGGCTTGCCTGGGATTTTTCCCATTTTAGCATCCCAGAAACCCCTCAGTCCTAAGTTAACTGGGATGGTTGGTCACCCAACCGAAGGGTTGGATACCCAGTAACCTAATTATTGCAGGAAGCCAGAAGCAGATAAGAATAGAATTCATGATGAATTCACATTGGTTGTCCTGGTTTTGAAATGATCAGTTTTATGATCAAATCCTCCTTTTATCTCAGAGCTGAAAATCTGAAAGGACTCAAAGCTATTTGGGAGGAATGTGGCTGAAAGAAAATAGCATTTCACTTTAAGGCACAAGGCATTTCTTAGTATAACCCATTTCATGATTAATCCTATCCCCAGATCCTGTGCAGCAAGTCTGAGAATGCCAGGCTGGTGGTGCAGATCGACAATGCCAAGCTGGCTGCAGATGACTTCAGAACCAAGTAAGATTTTCCTAACCATCAGAGCAGTCTAGTAACGGACAGGCTGAATTACAAAGTGATGAGCTCCCTATCCTGGAATGTGGAAGCAGAAATTTCTATTGGGAGGATTCTTGCATTGGGTTAGGATTAGGTTAAATGTCAAAGCCTCTTCAATAGGTGCTCAGATTCTGTGTTTTAAGTTTTTTTTTTTAATTTTTTTATTTTGAGATGGAGTCTCCCTCTCTCATCCAGGCTGGAGTGCAGTGATGCAATCTTGGCTCACTGCAACCTCCGCCTCCCGGATTCAAGTGATTTTCCTGCCTCAGCCTTCCTCGTAGCTGGGATTACAGGCATGCGCCAGCAGGCCCAGCTAATTTTTATATTTTTAGTGGAGACCGGGTTTTACCATGTTGGTCAGGCTGGTCTTGAACTCCTGACCTCAAGTGATCCACCCGCCTCAGCCTCCCAAACTGCTGGGATTACAGGCGTGAGCCACTGTGCGCAGCCCTGTGCTTTAAGTTTGATTGTAAGACACCATCCATTCTTACTCCTTTTCAACCCAACGTCTGGAGTAAGTTTGAAAGTGATTTTCACATTGGTCTCTTTGTATACGTTAGTCACTGTCAACCCCCCAAAAAGAAGTTATTAAACCACAAAAACAGGAGGCAAAATCCATTGCCTTTCAGAGAATCAATCAATACTTTTAGGTATGACCATTATTACAATCATGAGAATCCTTTGCATTTTCCTGGGATCTTACATTTTACAACATAATTTTACATATATCATCTTCAGTCCAACCCTATAAGGTGTTAGTTTTGTCTTCATTTTACAGTTAAGGAAATCAAGCCTCAGAGAGATAAAGGTATCTATCTACAGTCATTTAATGAGAATACTGGCTCTAACTCTGAATTCAGTGTTTCTTCCACAACACTAGATTGCTTCTTGGCAAGGCTGGAAAGGATGACAGGACAACCTGGAGCAGGCTTATGAAGGGCACTGATTCACTTGAGATGGCAAAAGCAGCAGGGCTTAGTTGATAGTAACTTGTAAACGAGAGTCTTAGAACAAACTTAGTTTGTGTTAGACTAAACTATCCACAGGCATTCCACCAATACCTTTTCTGTGTGTCTCAGTGACAAAATAGGCCTTCTCACTCAGTACAGGAGTATTTTCTCCCTTAATTTTTTAAATTCAAAATATTTCAAAATATAATAAAATTGACTAAGTCAGCCAAGTAAAGGCCGGGAAACAAAGACTTTTTTTTTTTGGACCTCTTTTGACCTCTGGCTGTGTGTGCAGGTACCAGACGGAGCAGTCCCTGCGGCAGCTGGTGGAGTCCGACATCAACAGCCTGCGCAGGATTCTGGATGAGCTGACCCTGTGCAGGTCTGACCTGGAGGCCCAGATGGAGTCCCTGAAGGAGGAGCTGCTGTCCCTCAAGCAGAACCATGAGCAGGTAAGAGTCCCAGCCCCCAATATCCCAATACTGAGAGCTCTGTGATCCCCCTGAATAGGATAAGGTAGGATTTGATTTGCTAAGCACCCTAGGCCTAACAACATTTTGCTGGTTGCTCAAAACATACTTTGGGGCTTGTTGGGGAATGAGTGACAGCTTACCTTTTTTACATAAAGGAGTGTGGTAAGCTGACCTACTTCCCCTTGGGACCAGACATGTATGGCTGAAAGGTCACACAAATATCTTTAAACTACTGTCTACTGTTTGATGCTATCTATTAGCTTCTGAAGAGGTGCCAGGTAGGTTAATGACCAAGACTGGAAGGAGATAGAAAACATTCTTACACTCTGTTTCACCTAGATAACTAGAACTCAAGCTAGATAAATGGATAGATGGATGAATGGATGGATGGATGAACTGATGGATGGGAAAAACGGGAGAAATGAAATAACTCAAATAATGGTTGATTCAGATCTCATGGCTGAATGCAATACTACGAAATCAGATGCATGTCTCAAACATTAGACGTTTTCATGATGAAAACATGTGTCATACTCTAGTAGTATCCCATGAAATAAATAGGAGGAATGAAACCTGGTTTCTCTATATTTAAGTAGCAACAATTGTAAGCCAATTATCATGCCAGGCTTATCACTGAGCAAAGGGGAAATAAGAAAGAAATGATAGAATCTTGGACTGGGTAGAAATATTAGCAATCATTTAATGAAGCAGCCGTATCATACAGATGAGGGAAGGGATTCAGAGAAGAGGCCAGAATTTCCAGAGGTGACAGCTGGGCTTCAACTCATGTTTCCTAAGCTGCAATGCAATCCTCTTCCCATTATATTGAACTGCCTCAAAGAAGTTATTGAAAGACTTCTTTCTGTGGGTTTATTTCTTCCCTTTTCTCCATTAGGAAGTCAACACCTTGCGCTGCCAGCTTGGAGACCGCCTCAACGTGGAGGTGGACGCTGCTCCCGCTGTGGACCTGAACCAGGTCCTGAACGAGACCAGGAATCAGTATGAGGCCCTGGTGGAAACCAACCGCAGGGAAGTGGAGCAATGGTTCGCCACGCAGGTGGGCATCTAAGCACGTGGCCACTCAGGACCCGAGGCCCCCCAGGGCCCCGGAGGCAGGGTCTGATCCTTTCTCCCCTTGGGTGTTTCAGACCGAGGAGCTGAACAAGCAGGTGGTATCCAGCTCGGAGCAGCTGCAGTCCTACCAGGCGGAGATCATCGAGCTGAGACGCACAGTCAATGCCCTGGAGATCGAGCTGCAGGCCCAGCACAACCTGGTGTGTATTGTTCAGACCTGCTGGTGAGCGATGGGAACTTGGGAGGCAGAGTCTTGGGGATGCCCTTGGGGCCACACACTCTTCTTAGCTCTTGGAGCTTGTGAGTTTTTTCGAACCCCATGGAGGAACCCTATAAGGAGCAGCTCTCTGACATTCCTGATCTTTCCCACCACAGCGATACTCTCTGGAAAACACGCTGACAGAGAGCGAGGCCCGCTACAGCTCCCAGCTGTCCCAGGTGCAGAGCCTGATCACCAACGTGGAGTCCCAGCTGGCGGAGATCCGCAGTGACCTGGAGCGGCAGAACCAGGAGTATCAGGTGCTGCTGGACGTGCGGGCGCGGCTGGAGTGTGAGATCAACACATACCGGAGCCTGCTGGAGAGCGAGGACTGCAAGTGAGTACCTGGCGGACGGCACCCCTGCAAGGGACAGGCACTGTTCTACTGTAGGATAAAACAGAGACTTTGAAAATCAAGTTTCAGATGCCAATCTGTCTGTAGAGGCGAGAGTTTTATATTACAGCCGTGGGAAGTGTAGGATATTTGTTGCTAACATTATCTGGGCTAAAGATACTTTCTTTTACAAAAGATAGTCATGGGACTTGACTCCTTCCTCCAGTAGAGATTTTTTGGATGTTGATGGCCAAATAAATCTTTCTGTCTTCAGGACTGTCTTGTCACCACAAAAAGGAAAATGAAACTGTAACAATGATCACTTTTTCTGATTTAAACAGAACTTTCAAATCCACCGTTTCATTAATTCTTGTTAGAATCATCTGAGGCAGGCAGAGTGGGAATCATTATCACCTTCTTATAGATGAGCATTTGAGTGTCAATAGGGTTGATGATCAATAACTAACAGTACAGCAGTTGCCAGCGAACATAATATTTTTATGAACACAGTCTTGTGGAATTTTCATAATCCTGTGTGGTTGGTACTACCAGTCCTACCTTACAGGTGGGAAAGCTGAGGCTTAGAAGGAGGAAGTGACTTTCTTGTGTGTCTAGGGTCATACAAGGAAGGCTGGGATTCCACCTTACATGTTCTTTGCTCATTTCTGCCACTGTATCAGAACTCTGTAGAAGGAGTGATCCAAACAAGGCATGGCTTCCTAGGACATCAGAGAACGGGTTCTGCTTGTTTCTGTGTCTCTTTGGATTGAGTCTCCCTTGTTTGAATCACCCTTCTCATGCTGACAGTCTAATGCTTCTGCATCCCAGGCTGCCCTCCAACCCCTGCGCCACCACCAATGCATGTGAAAAGCCCATTGGATCCTGTGTCACCAATCCTTGTGGTCCTCGTTCCCGCTGTGGGCCTTGCAACACCTTTGGGTACTAGATACCCTGGGGCCAGCAGAAGTATAGCATGAAGACAGAACTACCATCGGTGGGCCAGTTCTGCCTCTCTGACAACCATCAGCCACCGGACCCCACCCCGAGGCATCACCACAAATCATGGTCTGGAAGGAGAACAAATGCCCAGCGTTTGGGTCTGACTCTGAGCCTAGGGCTACTTGATCCTCCTCACCCCAGGTCCCTCTCCTGTAGTCAGTCTGAGTTCTGATGGTCAGAGGTTGGAGCTGTGACAGTGGCATACGAGGTGTTTTGTTCTCTCTGCTGCTTCTACCTTTATTGCAGTTCCCCAAATCGCCTAATAAACTTTCCTCTTGCAAAGCAGACATGATTCTCATTTGTATTCATTCTTTTCAAAGTGTTGACTCTCTGTGTGCTTCTTATAAAGCCACTTGAAAGCAGAAGGAGGACTTTATAGGTTAATCATCTCCTAAAAGGTCTTCATCACCTTCATTAACATTCATTAAGCACAGTGAGTCCCAGCATCCACTTAGGCCAGCATAAAACAAGTAGGATCACTAGGACAAGAGGCCTCGTCTGAATATGATAAACATATTTCTCATGGGACCTTACTCAGTAAAATGCAACGGTGAGCATCTCTAGACAGTTCCACTCATTCTTTTAAGTCCCTAGCAGGGATGACAGAAGTTAATATTTATTGAACACCTACCAAATGCCAGGAATTGTGCTACTAATTTTTTCTCTTCCTCACAGTGAGGAAGAATCAATGGCAGGACTGAACCCAGAGTTCACTCTCTGCTTGTCAGTTACACATGAGGTGTGATTATGAGAGGACAAAATTGATTTCAAACAAGCACCCAGAGCTTATACATCCTCCTGGGGAGACACAATGCTGTTAGTGCTCAAAACATCTCTGAAACTCTCCTTTGTGAAATACTGAATAACTCAATACTAAAAAGCACCACCTTGCCATCTTCCATATTTGAGCAATACCCAACCTATTTTGAAAGTGTTTCTTTTCTCACTTGAATTGTTTAACCATGGGAACTACATATGAATTTCGGGACCCTCCCCCTCAAAGTTATTTAGAATCAAATTAGGATATTACAAGTCAGGTGTTTGCAAATGCTAACAGTGACCACGGTACTGGTGCCTGGCCCCTACTGGTGCCTGCTGATGTCTAACCAAGGTTAATGGCTCCCATCACTGTGCATGCTGTGGTTTGTGCCAAGGCCACTCCCTCAGTCTGCAGATTATTCCCAGATTAACCAATCTGCTAATTATGTCTTCTCTCCTTGAGATGAAGCTGATACTATCTCCCCTGCTGTGATGATGCCGGTTCCATCATCACATGTCAGTCTTAAATTCTTAAATTTTTTTTTTTTTTTTTTTTGGAGACAGAGTCTCACTCTGTCACCCCAGCTGGAGTGCAGCGGCATGATCACGGCTCACTGCAGCCTTGAACTTCCCAGGCTCAGGCTATCCTCCCACTTTAGCCTCTTGAGTACATGGGACTACAGGCATGCACCACCATGCATGGCCAATTTTTGTATTATTTGTAGAGAGGGGTTTCGCTGGGTTATCCATGCTGGTCTTGAACTCCTGGGCTGAAGTGATCTGCCTACTTCAGCCTCCCAAATTGCTGGGATTACAAGTGTGAGCCACTGCACCTGGCCAGTCTTAAATTCTTGTGCTCTCATATTCTAGTTCACTTAATATCTACTCCTTTGTTGTTGATGCTGCTGCAGCTTAGACAGGAGACCTTGGAAGACCGTCTGAGTGATACTCCATCCTCTGCTCAGAATGTCTTAGACCCAGTTTGTGGACTCTATTCTCTCTTTCCTCAGGGAGAGTTCATTCCCTGGAGCTACCTGCATGCCTCATGAAAACCGCCCTTGTTCAATTTATCCCGGCAGTTCTCCACACATGCTGGGATTACTGTCCACTGATAGTTACCTCTCAGCTACCTTCACCAGGAACAGTGCCTCCCAAATACCCAGTTGCATGCTTTGTGAGTGAGAGGTCAAAGTTCTCAACACAGTAAATACACTTTGTTTTTAGTGTTCAATTTATAAAATATTAAGCAAAACTTGTTTCTATGTTTGATGTTGTGTCAGCGGAAAACATGGGTCTAGGGAAAACAGTCCTTAGTTCTTATCTCTGCCATGGTGCTCTCCTTGGAGGATAAAAGAAAGGAGTGTCAGGGAGATCACTTTTTCTCAGGACAAAGCCAAATTGCTCTTCTGAAGTATCTGGGAAGGGTCAGTGTTACCACTGAGAAATAAAACTAAAATCCTAAGTCCCCCAGCTGACTGAACGGACTCTGTCTTGGCCAAGGGGACCGAAGAGAAACCTTAAAAACAGAGTCACATGTATGTTTATTGCAGCAATGTTCACAATAGCAAAGGCCTGGAATCAACCCAAATGCCCAATAATGATAGACTGGATAAAGAAAATGTGGCACATATATACCATGGAATACTATGCAGCCATAAAAAAGGTTGTGTTCATGTCCTTTGCAGGGACAAGGATGAAGCTGGAAACCATCATTCTCAGCAAACTAACACAGGAACAGAAAACCAAACACCGCATGTTCTCACTCATAAGTGGGAGTTGAACAATGAGAACACGTGGACACAGGGAGGGGATCATCACACACTGGGGCCTTTTGGGGGGTGGGGGGCTAGGGGAGGGATAGCATTAGGAGAAATACCTAATATAGATGATGGGCTGATGGGTGGAGCAAACCACCATGGCACATGTACACCTATGTAAAAAACCTGCACGTTCTGCACATATATTCCAGAACTTAAAGTATAATAAGAAAAAGAAAAAAGAAGGAAAGAAAGAAAAAAACAGAGTCCCTGACCATGACAGGATGGGAGGTCAGACATGCCTCAGTATGCCCCCTCCTTATTAACTTTTAACCAGAATTCTTTCCTAAGGAGTAAGCAGAAACCAGCTCTGGAAAATAAGAAACAGATGAATCATTCCTTTATCACCTTTAGCCCATCATCTGAAGCTGTGACTGGATTCCTTCCTCCCGCCTTTTGCAGTTTCAACACAGCAACCAACTGGCTGGCATTCCTTCCTGATAAGAGACCACCAACCATGGAGTGGTCTGGCCAGTCTACAGAGGATGTGCGGTGAGGGTTTTCACATCCTCTGCCTCACCTTTCAACATCAGAGGGCCAAAAACTCCATCCTTGGATCATGCTAATGCCACCATTTGTGAACATGCGACCCATGAAGAGGCATGAAGCTCAATTGCACATGCTTACATTTGTCTTTTCATAAATATTCATGACTCCTCCTGTAGCTTATTAAATAGTGCATTTGGCCACCTCACTCAGCATACATTCCTTTCTCACATTTCCCTCCCTCAAAATGCTTACTCTTGGCTTCTGCCAGAGGCTACGCTTCCCAGCTTGCAGGATGGTCAGCCTGGAGGCTGCAGCCTTTTATGAGAAATAAAGCTCTCCTTTCCAACTTTATTAATCTTGTGATTTTTCAGTTGGCACTACTTAGCTTACTGACTTGGCAAGATACGCTGGCTGTAAAATTCACCATGACATGATGACCTGCAATTGGCCATCTAGTGTGACAAGGCAATGTTGCCAATGAAATGTGGGTATAATCTAGCTTGTCTCACTTCATAATTTTAAAGTTTCTAGTGAAATTAAATATTTAAAAAATCTTTTTATTGGTCATTCATGTGTCTTCTCTATAAATCAATTCAATCCAATGTATAATCATTGAATGCTTACGATGGTGCCTGTTGGGCAGAGCACTGAACAAAACAAAGACCTGCTCTAAGAAGCCTACTTTCAAGTGGAAGAAGACAGACAATAAAAAGAGGCAAACAAGCATGACTGTGTCAAGCAATAAGTGCTGAGAGGAAATATAAAGCAAGGAAAGGGAATAGGAAGTGGAAACTTTTGGATAAGGTGGTGAGGGCACTCTATGTCTGATGAGGAGAAATAGGGTTTAATCTATTTACATGTAATTTTATTACTGACTTTTTGGACTTATTTTAAAAATCTTACTTTGTCCTTTCCATTAAGGATGATTTTTTTTTGTTGCTTATTGTTTCCTCAGTTCCTGACACCTGTGGATTGATCTTGTTTTCTTTGTTCCCCCTTTTAATATGTGTTCTTAATTTTTAAATGTGCACACTTGACTTAGCACTATCTAATTTAATCTCTTTCTTCTTGCATAAAAACAAGATCCATAGAAGATGTTTTTGTTTTTTGTTTTTAAGAGACAGGATCTAACTCTGTTACCCAGGCTGGAGTGCAGTGGTGTAATCATAGCCGATACAGTTTGGATGTTGTCCTTGCCCAAGTCTCATGTTGAATTGTAATTCCAAATGTTGGAGGTGGGGCCTGGTGGGAGGTGATTGAATCATGGGGGCAGTTTCTCATGAATGGTTTAATACCATCCCCCTTGGTACTGTTGTCACAACGGTGAGTGAGTTCTCACAAGATCTGGTTGTTTAAAGGTGTGTAGAACCTCCCCCACTCCCTTGCTTCTTCTCCCACCATGTGAGACACCTCGCTGCACCTTTGCCTTCCACCATGATTGGAAGCTACCTGAGGCTTCCCTAGAAGCAGAAGCCTCTATGCTTCCTATACAGCCTGCAGAACTGTGAGGTAATTAAACTTCTTTTCTTTGTAAATTACCTAGTCTCAGGTATTTCTTTATAGCTGTGTGAGAATGGATTAATACAATGGCCCACTGCAGCCTTAACCTCCCAGATCCTGAGGATCCTAACCTCAAGTGACCCTCCTGCCTCAGTCTCCGAAGTAGCTGGGACCACACATGCATGCCACCATGTCTGGCTAATTTTTTACTTTTTATTTTTGTAGAGACAAGGTCTCTCTATGTTGCTTAGGCTGGTCTTAAAATCCTGGGCTCAAGGGATTCTCTGTGTTGGCCTCCCAAAGTGTAGGGATTACAGGTGTGAGCCACTGTGCCCTGTCAGAAATTTTTGTTTATGTTCTTTACTTTACTTTTTTATCTTGGTTTATTTTATTATTTATTTATTTATTGACAGGATCTTGATCTGTTGCCCAGGCTGGAGTGCAGTGGCATGATCATAGCTCACTGCAGCTTCACCTTCCTTGTCTCAACCTATCTGCCTGTCACAGCCTCCTGAGTAATGGGACTACAGGCATATGCCACCATGTGTAGCTAATTAATTTTTTTTTTTGTAGAGACGAGGGTCTTTCTATGATGCCCAGGCTGGTCGTGAACTCCTGGGCTCAAGCGATTCTTTCACCTTGGCCTCTGAAAGTGCTAGGATTGTAGATGTGAGTCGCCATGTTCAATCTTACCTTATTTTTATGCTCCAAAATTTGGTCATTATTATTATTATTTAGAATTATCTACATGGTTACCAGTTTATTTGTTTGCAGTGTTTCTTGGACTTTATTCGTCCTTTCTGGTTTTAACTTTTTATTTTCTGAAATACATTCTTTGGTAGTTTTTATAGCATTTGCTATGGTTTGAATGACACCTCCAACCATTCACTACTACTTAAACCATTCACTACTACTTAATGGTCAAGTAGTGATTAGGCCATGAGAACCCTGCCTTCATCAATGGATTAATGTCATTTTATCATGGGAGGGGGGTAGTTATCATGAGAGTGGACTTGTTATAAAATGAGTTTGGCCTCCTTTTGCTCTCTGGCTGTCATGCTCTCTTGCATTTACACCTTCTACCATGGGACAATGCAGCATGAAGGCCCCCATCAGATACCAGCATCTTGATAGTGGCCTTCCCAGTCTCTAGAACTGGAGAAATAAATTTATTTTCTTTATAAATTATCCAGTGTGTGGAATTCTGCTGTAGCAACACACAGCAGACTAAGAATCTATAAGTGACAACTTCTCTGTTATTTTCTGAAAATGTCTTTTCTTAGTGGTCACTCTTACATGATGGTTTAGTTTGTATAAAATTCTAGGTTGGCAGCTATTTTCCTTCAGCGTGTTGGAAATATTATACCATTATCTTCTGGATTCTGTTGTTGATGCTGAAAAGCCTATTGCTAACCTGTATTTCCATTGTTGGTAATTCTTCTATTTTTTTCTCTCTTTGACTCTTTCTAAGATCATCTCTTTGTCTTTAGTGTTGTGCAGTTTCACTATGTTATTCTAGGGATGGCTTTGGTTTAGTTTTCCTACTTAGGACTTATGTGCTTCTTGATTGATTCATGTATTTCAATACCCGTGGAAAATTCTCAGCCATTACATTTTTTCAATATTACTTATATCTTATACTCCATTTTCTCCTTCTGAATTCCTTTTTTTAAAAAATAGCTTCACTGAAGTATAATGTATCATATATAATTCATATACTATAAAATTTACAGATCTAAAGTATAAAATCAAATGGTTTTTAGTATAATGAGAGTTATAACTACTACTACCATTTTAGAACATTTTATTACCTCTAATAGAAACCTTGTACCCATTAGTAGTCACTCTCTGTTCCCTGCAACCCTCCAGGCCCAGGAAATCATTGCTGTCTCTTTAGATTTGCCTGTTCTGGACATTTTATATAATGAAGTCATAGAATATGTGTTTTTTTGGCTAGCTTCATTTACATAGTATGTTTCAAGGTCCATCCATGTTGTAACATATAACAGGTATCATGGAGGAATAAGTGCATGATCCTAACCTAGGATCATGAAGATTTACTTCTACATTTTTTTCCTAAGTTTTCTAGTTTTAGCTGTTACATTTAGGCTGTGCTCCATTTTGAGTCATTTTTTTTGTCTGTGGTGTAAGAAAGGGGTCAAACATTTTATTCTTTTGCATGTGGATGTCTAGTTGTCCCAGCATTATTTACTGAAAAGATTATTTTTCCCCATTAATTATATTGGGACCTATGTTGAATATTAATGGACCATAAATGTGAGGGTTTATTTCTAGACTCTCAATTTTATTCTGTTGGTCTGTATGTCTATCTTTATGCCAATAGAATACTGTCTGTGTTACTGTAGCTTTGTAGTAAGTTTTGAAATCATGAAATGTTAATCCCCCTACTTTGTTCTTCTTTTTCAAGATCGTTTTGGCTATTCTGGTCTTATGCATTTCCACATGAATAAAAGGAACAACACGTCAAGTTCTATAAAACAGCTAGCTGGGATTTTGGTAGGTGTTGTTGAAAGTTTAGATCAACTTGGGTGATACTGCCATCTTAACTGTGGAGCCCAATGGAACATCTCTCCTGTAACACAGAGGTGTGCAGGAAAGAAGGACTGCACTCCTCAAGCCACCCTGCCTGAATCCTCCCTATGTAGAGGGAACTGGGGTTAGAAATGGGTGAGCTATGAAAAATGGGATCTGCTGATGTGTATTGGCTGCTGGGAGGATTGGGAACTGCCACTCAGCTGCCCAGCACATGGTGCTTCTGGAAGGCAGAGACATGAGAAATAATGGAGTCCCTCATTTAAACATCATAGCCCCCAGTGTTCTTATCAAGTTTCCATTTTTTGTGTGTGGTTGTTGAGTAAATGCTTCTCATTTGTTGTAAGCCCTTTAATCAATGCCTAGAGCCTTTGACTGATGTCTTTGTTAATTTTGAGTGGCTTAATAGATGTCTTTCTAGGGGAGAGACTTCCCCAAGCTCTTCATACCACCATTTCTGTGCTTCTTCAAACAGATTTTGGACCTTCACATTCTAGCTTGTCTGTCATCTCTTTCATATTTTCAATCTCTAAATATTTCTGTGTTATATTCTGGTAAATTTCCTTAGAGATCTTTTCCAGTTGACTTATTCTCTTTTCATCTTTGTCTAATTTAATGTTTAACCTATCAATCGAGTTTGAAAATTTGTTGTATTTTACTTTTGTAGAAAAGAAAGGCTCTTTTATTATTAATTTTTTTAGAATTGGCTTTAATAAATGCAATTCTAACAGAGATGACAATACTTTATTTGGCTTTGTAAGAAAGGGATATTTCAGCTATTAAAGCTAACAACAATTTGATACATAAAAAGTGATTGAATAAAGGGAATAATAAGGCAGAAATGCATATTTTATATCTTAACAGAAATGAATAAATGCAACATTCCATGTAAAAACTAACAAAATTACATCAATTCCCAGACAAAATCTATTAGGAGTCAACTTAATTTTATAAAAATGAATTTGTCATTTAATGAAAAAAGTAAAACAATTAAATTTATTGACTCCTAGAACTCTGTTAAAATATTTCTGTGAAGCTCTGTGGAACAATTATTAATAAAATTAAGCTGACAGAACAAATGCAACAATTAAACAATTGCTGTGACTTAATAGGAGAAGTATAAAATATCTAAAAATGTCCAATAGAATTATGAGAGCTAAAACTTTGTTTTTAATTAAAATTTCATTAGTTCAGTAGGAGATGAGTGAAAATTTAGCACCCTGAATAATATTATTGATATCAAAAGAAAATTTTGATTTTTTGAAGCCACAAAAGACCTAGTGATGAAATTTTACACTTAAAATTTGCACTTTAAATTATACTCTTCACTTTTAGAAGTTGTTTGACATTTTTTTTTTAAACATGCCTATACTTTTTGCATAGTGGCTACCATTTTCTTTTAGGGATTTGATTCCTTATTTTGTCGTATAAGCTCTTTAAACATAGTTATTTAATATACTTGGCTTTAACCTTCTGTTTCTTGTATCTTCTCCTCCTTGCTAATTGTGAGTTATTTCCTTGGGTGTTTTGTTAATTTATCAGCATGAAGGTTCTTGCATTGATTCAACCCCCAAACCTTAATGATAAATAGGTCACTAGTTTAACAATCTCAAAGGAGATTTTTACTATTTACTTTTTTTTTTTACTATTTTACTATTTACTATTATTTACTATTATAATTTTAAAATTAGAGCCCACTAAGAGATAGATAGTTCAGCTTTTTAAAGTTTTCCTTTAACAACAAGCATCCTTTATTTTTCTAGTTCACCTTTTTACTAAGGGTTTAGTGTTTAGAGAGACTTGCATCGTTCGGTGGTCTCCGCCTGAACTCTCTCATAAAGACTAAAAGCCTTATCCTATTTCTTTAGTCTAATTTATCCTCTTTCAGTTTAGACTCTTTCACAAGCTCTCTGCAAGTTTGGGCAAGTCACTTCCCCTTTTGGGTCAAAGTTATCCCATTTTTAAAATGAAAGAGTTGAGTGAAATGACCAGTTAGGTCCTTGGTAACTCCAGCATGCTAAGCCTGTAGGCTTTATCTGACTTAGATAGTATTTCCAGAAAAGAAATTTAATTATCCCTTATGTGTATGTGGGAAGTATAGTCTATGGATGCGGGTCAATATGAGGTGGTTCTAGCAGCCAATCTTGGACCATGGGCTAGCAGTCAATGGCAGAATGTTTCTCCAAGGGTTACTCCTCCTTGTCTTCTCCTTCACCCGAAGCTCAGACCTCATGCCAGTCAATTCATGAGCTATAGGTAGCTTGATTTCCCTTCATTCCTTCTTAGTAGCTCACCTTTGGAATGGACAAAGTCAGCAGATATCACAAGGGCATGAATGCCGATCACAACAAAGACTTTATTTCTAGAACAGGCTCAAGTGTAATGTAGTAATTATATTGGAACAGGAGCCTCCTAGGCTTTTTTTTTTTAATAACTCATTGTTCCTCTAGAAGATTTGCAAGAATTTCCTTCTGAAATTTTAAATGTAAATTTTATTTTGTTTATTGTGCAGAAGTAACATATATTTTCAAAGAATTTGGAGAGAAGAAAAAAAACATTCATAATCCTGTCATTTAATAGCATCCAGTGTCATTGTGGTGTGTTTTCTTTAATCTCTCAATTGTCCCCATTTTAATAATAGTTTAATTTTGTTGTGACTATCTTTTGTGTACCTTACTCTGGATAAGCATATTGCTGTCGAGTAGGGTCACCATTGTTTGACCAATTGTTCTAAGTTGCTCCAAACAGATGGGATATAATCTATATCTGATGGGATATAATTATGTTTAAATTACTCCAAATTGTTGGTATATAATTGTATCATCAACTTAGAAATAATTGAAATCAGAGAGTTAACAAGAAACTGTACTATTGCTGAATTCTATCTTTATTTACACATTGACTCATAATTCTTCTTCAACACAGCATATCTATGGTTAACAAGATGTTTTTCTCACTGCCCTTGATTTCTGTCCTTAGGTAATAACAGATCAGATTGTTTGTGAAATTCTTCAACATTTCAGTAGAATGGTGATTGGGCTGATAATGCAGTGGGAATCAGAAGATCTGGGTCCTAGCTAGATGATACTAAGCAAGGCATTTCTCCATTCTGAGCCTCAGTTTCCCCTTCGTAAAACGAACGGTTTGGATGAGTTGACCATTAGGATCCCCAATATCTTGTTCCAAGATTTTCCCTCTCTCTTTTAACCATTTTCATATTTAGGATCTATGTTAGGAGGTAAGAGGGAGGAAGAGAAGAGCCAAATGCAAAGCCATCTGGTTTTTGGTCTGTAGCTGTAGCTGGGAGGCTTGGAAGCTGCTTGGATTGGTAGCTGTAGCTGGGAGGCTTGGAATCTGTTGTCTGCTTTATCCTCTGCTAGCAAGGACATAGGAAGCCCCTCCTCTTTCTGGCCAATGTATGCCTCCTCAGGCCCATACTTGAATTTTTTCCTCATTGCCTCTTTAGGATATCAAATAAGGCTCATCTTACATCTTGTGACAAAACAGAAGTGGTGTCATATGCACGGTCAGTTCAGATTACTCATGCTTCTTGGATAATTGTTCCTAAATAATAAACTATTACGAATCATCAAGTTCAAACAAGTCTGGCATCTGCGTAAAGCCCACTCCAATTATTGTATAAAAGTCTGTATTGGTAAGATCAAAGCTCCAAGCTTAATAATCAGATATATAAATTTATTGCAGCAGAACTTCTCTAAGTAATGAACATCTCAATTCTGTGTGTTTGAAGTCTTGGTTTACCGAAGTTCACTGTGGGCATTACTTTAAGAATGTGCACAGGCGCTGCGTACAGCAGGCATACCTGTGTGACCCTGGAAAGGTCCTGGTAAATTTCTGGTCAAGGCAGCCAATACCCTCTCCATGGTCCTGATCATGTGCGGCCCCTTTGCTGCACTTGGCACTTCTAACATCACCTCCTCTTGGAAGCACCCTCCTTCCTGCCCTTCTGGGATGCCATGAACTTGTTTTTATCATTTTTTTCTCACCATTTCTCCATTTATCACAGATTCTTTTTCCTTCTCCTGATCTCTGATTGGGAAATTCTCCAAAGTTTGGTCCTCAGCTCCTTGTTGCTCTTCTCTTTGTACTCTCCCTTGGCCCAGTTCTCTAACTCTCTCACTTGTACTAAACCTTATCTGTATCATCATCCCTGCCATAAATTCTAGTCTTGCATGGACTGTTGCAATAGTCTCTTTGCTGAACTCTTTGCCTCCAATCTTTCCTTCATTTTTCAAAAACAGATAAATATTTGCTAAAACATTTCCTAAAACACCTTTTGTCACACCACACTTAGGTTCAAAAGCTTATACTGGCTCTACAGCTTCTGGGGAAGTCCAAGCTGCTCCACTTCACCATCGAGACCCCCTACCATAGGGTCCCCATACAATCCCCCATAAAGCTTTAATTTCTAGCACTTCCCTTCACAACTCTCCCCTTCCTGCTGCCTAGACTTACCCTGGTCCTTCAACCATGCCTTGGGCTTTCCCACCCCATTCCTGTGTGCACATTATTCTCCTCACCTGCACTTCCTACTTTTCTCCCCTCTGCTTCTTAGAAGCCTCCCTATCCCAGCACAAATCCATTCATCCATTCCTAAGAGCCTCCAATCCTGGAGCTGCTCGCCCTCCCCAGTGTGTAAACCACTCAGTTATCACTTGTCAACTTCTGCCTCAGATTATTATTTCCTGTTCATCCCTTCATCACTCTACCCACACCCATTCAACAGTGCCTACCAGGTGCCTAGAGCTGGGGATTCAAAGACAAACTAGACCCTGCCCTTGCCTTCAGGGACCTCAAATAGAGACAGAGAGACAAGCACATAAGTCATGACAGTGTCATGCTCAAGGTAAAAAGAGAGCTTGGAGAGGAGAAAGGGACGGCCTGTCTGAAGAAGGGAAGGAAGTAAGCCATTTATATTTAAGCCAAGTGTTGTGATGAAAAGAAAAGTGATCTGCTTTGGAATCCTAGGTCCACAACTTATTATCCTCACCCTCTATGCCTTGGTGTTCTCATCTATAAAATGGGAATTATACAGTTTACCTTTAAGAGTTCTGGTGAGGAATAATGGACATCTAAGTTCTGCATGTTTGAGGATCATGTTTGTAAAAAGGATCTAGTTTGTGAAAAGTGTCCACACTACCTTGGGCTTGTGCAGTTTCTTAACAAGTAAGAACTTCTTCTGACCATAGCATTGAGTCCTATTTTCCACCCCTCCCAGTGTCTATTACATCGCCCTGGATGAAATTGTCATAGTGGATATCTATTATTTGGTTGATTGACGTCATCATGGACATGAAAAAAGCCCATCATATCAGGAAACATGGCCATCAGGAACTGTCCCAGAAAGGATCTATTCCTCTTTCTGAGAACCATGAATTTGGAATTTGGCACTTGGAAATGTGACCTAGCAAAAGACACAGGGCAAGAGCTATGCTTTTCCATTTCACCAAGGAGAGCCAGAGCTTGCCAAAGAGTTAGGGGCCTCAAGCCACAAAGCAGAACAGCAATACTGTCTCTTGACCTGCTGCACCCCACTGAAGAAGGCCAGGGCTTTCATGAGTCCAGGTCTTTGAAGTCACACCATGAAGCTCTTACATCATGACACACAGCATGGAAGAGGAGTCCCGACTTAGCGAGAAGCCCAAGTAAAGTATTTTATGAGGGGAGAGACTCTTCTGAAGAAACACAACAAATGGAGGGAAGGGCTTTTGACAATCACCAAATGAGCAAAAAAAAAAAAAAAAAAAAGGGGTTGTCTTACGTGTCCACACCCTCCATGGACGAGGTATAAATGCTCCCTGGAGGAAGGAGACCCACCGCTCTACAACCTGGAGATTTTGGACTCTGTCTTCAGCTGGACACTCCCTCCCTGCACCATGTCTTACAGTTGTGGCCTGCCCAGCCTGAGCTGCCGCACCAGCTGCTCCTCCCGGCCCTGTGTGCCCCCCAGCTGCCACGGCTGCACCCTGCCCGGGGCCTGCAACATCCCCGCCAATGTGAGCAACTGCAACTGGTTCTGTGAGGGCTCCTTCAATGGCAGTGAGAAGGAGACCATGCAGTTCCTGAACGACCGCCTGGCCAGCTACCTGGAGAAGGTGCGTCAGCTGGAGCGGGACAACGCGGAGCTGGAGAACCTCATCCGGGAGCGGTCACAGCAGCAGGAGCCCTTGGTGTGTGCCAGCTACCAGTCCTACTTCAAGACCATTGAGGAGCTCCAGCAGAAGGTGAGGAGTGGGCGACACAGTGCCTCCAGTAGGAAGTTGTCGGGAGAGAATCCGAGTTGTGATTGAGAAACAACGTAAGCTCTTGATGTGAATGAAAAGCTGAAAACTGGCCTTTCCATTTTGTTTTTTGAGGGCCCATCTAATACTAGACTTGGGACTGTTAGGTCTAAATATTTGCATAGTGTTAGTCTATGTGGAGGTAGCAGCACTTTGCATAAATGAGCTGTAATTAAAAACTACCTCTGAATGCTTCCATGCACCTGCCAAGCTCCAGAATTATTACCCTGAGGTGAGAGAAAAGGACTGAGTCCAAAGGAAGCTGGGGAAACGGAATCTTTTGTAAAGACTGGGCCATTTTCTTTCTCCCTCATCTGAGCTTTTTGCCCCTTGGACTGCTGGCTGCCTCTCTCTTCTAGGTTCCTACTTATCCTGATTTCATTGTCCTCACCTTCATGCCTCTGGGCTTCTCCTGGTGCACAGTGTCCAGTGAGAGCCTAAAATGTTTGGCCCAAATTGGGAAGATTGGAAATTACCTAGGACAAAGTAGTCCCAGTTGTCTGGGACATCTGGGAACATGTGGCTTCTTCCCTGATCCAGTCCCCTGCAATTGCTAGTTTACCTATTTGTCTTTTCTGCTTGATTGAAAGTTTCTTGAGGGCAGGATCAAGTGCTTACCAATTTTTGTATCCTCAGCTCCTAGTATCATGCCAGAAACATAGTAGGTGTTTTTCATAAATGTCAACTATTATGATCAGCTTCTCAGTATTGCTCATTAGGATAGAAAAAAGATTATCTACTTATACTTTTTGCATATTTTGGTGTTCTTTTTTTGAATATAATTTTGGAAATATTCATTGAGTACCTGCTGTATATAGAAAGCATTTAATAAGATAGACATCCTGATCCTTCCAAGGAAGTGAATTAGGAAGGACTGCCATTGGTGAAAAATTACCAAGTCCTTGCTCATTCTTGAATGTTTTGGGCCTTCTAGATCCTGTGCAGCAAGTCTGAGAATGCCAGGCTTGTGGTGCAGATCGACAATGCCAAGCTGGCCTCAGATGACTTCAGGACCAAGTGAGTGGGCAAGCGGGGTGTTGCTGTTTATTTCTCTTCTCTGGCAGCCCTCCTTTCCTTTAGCCTGTTGTCAACACAAGTTAAACAAACAGTGACTGAGCTATGTTCTAGCTGCTTTCTCCAAGATTCACAGAGCCACCACACACCGTAGCTCAGAGATCCTTTCCCCAGGCCTTAGACTTCCTTTCCTCCTTCTTCTCCTCTGTGACGTGACACCCCTAGTCGTACTGTGAGTTAGTGTAGACGTGTTGGCCCCCGATGTTCTCCTATGCACAGAACCCATTCATGAGAATGGAGAATGTGGAAGCATATTATTTTGGAAGTCTTACAGTTTGTCAGCTTTTATCCTAAATCCACTGGCTTTCTTCTTTTTTTTAGAGACAGGGCCTTGCTCTGTCACCCAGGCTGGAGGGCAGTGGTGCAATCATAGCTCAGTGTAACTTCAGATCCTCAGACTCCTGGGCTCAAGCAACCCTCTCCCCTTAGCCTCCTGAATAGCTAGGAATATAGAAGTCTATCCACTGGATCTTTAAACGTAAAATTACCAGTGCATTTTCTTCCAGCTCGATGCTGAAAACCTAAACAAAAGAGATGGCTATAAAAACTACAAACCCTAATTCCTAGTTGCCTGACTAACCAAACCAAAGCAGAGTCAAGGCCAGGCCTATTCCTGCCCAGCCTGTTCCTGACCCTCCTGTGATCACAGATATGAGACCGAGCTGTCCCTGCGGCAGCTGGTGGAGTCGGACATCAATGGCCTGCGCAGGATCCTGGATGAGCTGACCCTGTGCAGGTCTGACCTGGAGGCCCAGGTGGAGTCCCTGAAGGAGGAGCTGCTGTGCCTCAAGCAGAACCATGAGCAGGTGAGTTCCCTGAAGAGTGATGGGCTCAGACTAGCCAGGACCTGTTTCACAACTGCCACAGGGTCCAGGACAGGCTGTCAGTAGAGGCTCAATTAGCTGAGGAAGTAATTCTGCATACAAAAAGGGATATGTAGAGAATGACTAATCTAAAAACCTGTGATATGAGATTAGGATTTTTCTGCCAGAGGCAGGAATGAGAGTGAGGAAGTTGGCAAGCCCAGTAGTGAGGAAAGCTGGGTAATGAGGCAGAAGCCACAGCCTCTCCTGTGCCCAGGTTAGAGTGCATGCAGCAGCAATCTTCTATTCCAATTCTCCATTTGTAGCTGGAGAAGCCAGGATGGCCTAGGCCCATCAGGCAGAGAGGGCTGAGCTAGAACAAAATGCAATTCTCTTCGTTCCTGTCCAGAGCTCTTTCTGCTTGCTGTTCAGTGTTGCTTGGAAACAGCCTTGAGCAAAATGCTCACCATTATGGCTAAGTCAGTTGGGCAAAAAAGAAGACGTGTATTTTATGCAACCTGAAATCCAAGAACAATGTAAATGGTGACAGTTAATATTAATCAAGTGCTTAGTATGTGCCAAACATTGTGCTAAGTGCTTTAACTCCGGAGGCAGTTCTCATGTTAAGATGAAGAAATCGAGGCTTCAAGAAGCTTCTAGAAGCAATGTATTAAGTGGTAGAGATGAGGTTGAATACAAATTTGTCTGAAATCCGCCTAAGCCCAAGTACCAAGCTATGCTTAGCAGGGAAGTAAACAGATACTTATTGCCTTCAGCAAAATCTATGCTGGTGGAATCAACAAATCACCCTTTAAGTCTCTTCTATGCCAGGATGGCAGATTTTGAAGTAAGCATTCTGTATTTCCTCTTTAGCTAGACTCTGTTCTTTTTATTATCCATGCTTAAGAGTCAAACATGTGAGGCTATATGGTATACTAGCAAAAACACTGAACTGGGCATTTGGGGACCAGAGTTTAAATAATGGCCCACCATGTATCAGCTTTGAGCCCAAATCACTGAATCTCTCTAAATGAGGAGTGATACATTTAATACAAAGAGCAGAGGGAAGTCATGGGCTTGAAAGTAGTTTGTAAAAAGTGGAGTATACAAATTAGTCATTGAATATAGATCCTGGTTAGTGACAGGATCAGAGGGAACAAAGTTTCTTGAAAGCTTAAGAATGATCAGAAGTTGAATTGCATTCTCTTAAGGAGAGCACCAAGATCCTTTGTGAAATTTAAAATTTTGCCCTTTCTCCATCAGGAGGTTAACACCCTGCGCTGCCAGCTTGGAGACCGCCTCAACGTGGAGGTGGACGCTGCTCCCACTGTGGACCTGAACCAGGTCCTGAATGAGACCAGGAGTCAGTATGAGGCCCTGGTGGAAACCAACCGCAGGGAAGTGGAGCAATGGTTCGCCACGCAGGTGGGCATCTAAGCACGTGGCCACTCAGGACCCGAGGCCCCCCAGGGCCCCGGAGGCAGGGTCTGATCCTTTCTCCCCTTGGGTGTTTCAGACCGAGGAGCTGAACAAGCAGGTGGTATCCAGCTCGGAGCAGCTGCAGTCCTACCAGGCGGAGATCATCGAGCTGAGACGCACGGTCAATGCCCTGGAGATCGAGCTGCAGGCCCAGCACAACCTGGTGTGTATTGTTCAGACCTGCTGGTGAGCGATGGGAACTTGGGAGGCAGAGTCTTGGGGATGCCCTTGGGGCCACACACTCTCCTTAGCTCTTGGAGCTTGTGAGTTCTTTGGAACCCCATGGAGGAACCTTATAAGGAGCAGCTCTCTGACACTCTCAATCTTCCCCACCACAGCGAGACTCTCTGGAAAACACGCTGACAGAGAGCGAGGCCCGCTACAGCTCCCAGCTGTCCCAGGTGCAGAGACTGATCACCAACGTGGAGTCCCAGCTGGCGGAGATCCGCAGTGACCTGGAGCGGCAGAACCAGGAGTATCAGGTGCTGCTGGACGTGCGGGCGCGGCTGGAGTGTGAGATCAACACGTACCGGAGCCTGCTGGAGAGCGAGGACTGCAAGTCAGTATGGGGGTAGTAATCTTCTCCTTGGGGCATGTTAGGTTGCTGTGGAGATGAATAGTCTTCTTGATGGAAATGAATTTATAATTTCAAGCTTTTGTTTGGAGGAAGTCCAAGGAGGAACAATATTCTTACACAAAGCCCTTTTAGTATTTTCCAATCTCTTCAGCTCATTTTACTCTAACTTGCTCCAATGATTTTCTGCCCACAGGCTCCCCTCCAACCCCTGCGCCACAACCAATGCATGTGACAAGTCCACTGGGCCCTGTATCTCTAATCCCTGTGGCCTACGTGCTCGGTGTGGGCCTTGCAACACATTTGGGTACTAGAGGCCCCACAACCAGGAGGAGAAGAAAGGCATCAGTCACACCTCAACTCTACTTCATCCCAACATCTCCAACAGTGACCACACTTTGGAAAGAGGCAGAAACCTTTCTATCAACCCTGGCTTCCAGGGGTCAGCTCTAGCCTTCCACTGTATTCCCTGGCTTGATTCTTCAGCATAAGGCTGCAAAATCTGTCTTCTGAGTCACATAGAGAGACCTACAGCAGGATCAAGATCAAGCAATATCTATCACCATAAAGACACATTTGCATAACATGTTATACTTGAATAAAACTTAAATAATACAATTTAGAGAAAATTCCATTAAATGTGATAGAGCTGATGGGCATGCTATGAAACAGAACATAATTGGAGCAAATCTTCCTTGTCACTCTTGGTCTTTGGAGATGCAATAGAAATCCTTTGTTAACCTCCTAATAAACTGTTATTCAAAAGTTATAATTGTCTGTTTCACTCATTAATTCCAAAATTGGCTGTCTTGTATAAATTAAAAAAATAACCAGAGTTTTTCCATCAGATGAAGAGGTTATTCACCCCATATATGGCCTATGATTTCCTTCAATGGAAAAGCCTCCATGAAAGACTATTAACCCGGATTTAGTGTTTGGGAAGAAGGTGGTGGGAAACAGAATGGCAAATTCATATGAAGGTGTCTTTAGAGACACAGGAACTATTTATTCTGAAACATTAAGTGGAGGGATCCGAAAACCTTTTGAGTAAAAAAAAAACCTGTACTGAGGTAATATAAATCTATCACCTTAACATATGGTATATAATCTCATATACACATATACATAACCACATACCATATAAGCATATGTACACCACACACACATGCACACACACAACCATGCTGTGCTGAAATGTTTAGGTAGAAAGTAGGAAGGAGCAGCAAAGGGTAGAGGGATATAGTGGCCAGGAGGAGTGTGGGATCTGCTAGGCTGGATGGTGGGGAGGTGCCTTTGGTTCACCTTCCTCTCTTTGTTCCTGCCTCGGCACTCAAGGACTCCTTGTGACTTTCTGTAGTTCTATGATGTGGGCCTGGAACTCTATGCTGGAGTTCTCTGCTCAGTTGCCTGGGGTCTGCGTCAGATGATGGAGAACTGTGAGTGGGTTATTTGGCGGAAAAGTCTCTTTTGTCCTAGTGAGCCTTGAGCTTTGGCCCCACCTGTTTTTATTTATATGCAGTTGGGACCATCATTATGTCACATTACTGCCTTCAGTGGCATCCAGATTTGGCAATGTTTAAAAAAACAAAAACAGCAATCAAGTAAGGAAACCCAAGGCCCAGCCCACAAATGAGATTGAGTCTCATTTTTCACTTCTCTACTCCTACTTTTCTAAATCAATGATTGAAATGAAGAGATATTGAGAATGGGAACTCTTAATAGAGATTAGAATATCATCAACCTATGAGAACAGGTAGGGAGGGGCAGGAGGTAGAGTGGGGGTTGGAAATTCTCTCCAAAACTTGCAGACCATATATTTAGGTGTGGTAGAGATGTCCAGGGAAAAATACCCAAAACCTTCCATTCAGGGCTGTGGATACCAGAGGACAGCTAAGGAGACCAGCCCTCAACAGTTGCTCGTGGCCACCTTCTTCCCTTAGGTGCGGACCAGTCCTCTCTTTTGCGTTAGGGCTAACATAGAGAGAATGCTGAGTCTCAAAGATTGGTCACTCGCTACTCCATTTGTCTTCAGCAGCACAGTCCTATAGAATGGAGAACAGATGTTCCTGAGGATCTGAGAGTCTGGGCTCCTTTTTAGTGGAAGATCATGTATATAAAACATTTCTTTATTTGAGTTTGGAAGAGAAGAATCAGTAGAAAAGGTCTTTATAAACTTTAAAAATAACCTGGATAGGATACAGATTTCAATTAAATCAATGTAGAAAGTCACCTCATCATTAATCATGAATGTCTGCTGCTTGCTTGGAAGGAGGAGATAAATAATGGGTTCAGAATCCTTTCTTTCTCTCTTGTATATTTCAGCAACAATGCAGAGGCAGGAAAAAAAAAGCAAGAATTCTTAAAGGCGAGGTTCTGTTATTCAACCCTGGGCTTTCCCAGGTGCAAACTTAATTTCTCCTTTCTGCAGGTTCCCAGGTCTGCAGTCGCTGAGGTCATCAGCTCCTCGAGCCAGGCCTTCTCAGAAAACAGTGCTCTGAGGGGAGAGGCCCATAGCAAGGAAGCAAGGAAACAAGACCCTGGGAAATGTCTCCTAATCCCTGCCCCACCCTTCCCTGTGAAATAAACCATGATGGCGCTGGGCTATGAGTCTTACCCACTAGGAGATGGTGTGGGATGCTGTGATGAGAAGAAGAATTATGGCTTGTTTTGGAGGCAACATTTTTTGGTCCTGGTTTTGGATATATTGTTGACTCCCCTGACCATCAGAGTCCTCCTTTTGAGAGACCTGGCCTGGCAGCATTGTGGGGTTGTGAAGATCCCCTGTGTATGGAAGTGCTTTATAAATGGTGCAGCATGGTACCTATGTAAGACTCAGTATTCTTGTTGTTGACACTTTGACCTTGAATACGAATTCCTGGGCTCTTGGGATCTAAGTTTGATATTGTCTAGTCCCAGTAAAACATTCTACTCAGCCTCCTAACAGCCTGTTTGCTCCTATTTTTGACAGATGTGAACCGAGCTCCTATTGTCTCAGTTTGGAGAGCTTGCCTGAGAGGTGACATTTGCATTGAGACCTGAAAACAGAGAAGAAACAGAGCAGAGGGAAAGAGCTTTCCAGAGAGAGGGACAGAAAGTCAAGGAAGGGAGGGAGTAAGGCAGTTGCCTTTGAAGAAGGGAGCAAGGCCAGGGCATCGGGAGTGATGAGTAGGGGAGGAACAATCAGCCTGTATGTGTGGGCAGTGGCCAGGGTACATGGGGGCTCGCCAGTTCTGTGGAGGATCCGATTTCATTTCAAGGGAAGAGGAAAGCCTTGGGAGAGTTAAAAGGATGAATTTGATTGACACTTTTATTAAAAGGAGTGCATTGGCAGCTGAATGGAAAATAGGTTTACTGAACACTAACATTTAAAGTTTCAGGGTAGTGGATGACAATTACAAGTCAGGTATGTCTTCTTTTATGTTTCAAAGAAGAATCACTGACATCTAACAACAACTGCTCACATTTCTCATCAAAAACAGGAGAGTCTGGCAGCAGGCACCAAAAGTCCCAAGAATGGCTCCAACTATAAAAGGATATGAGGATGACATGATCTGTCCCTTGTTATTGCAAAATGCACACTGACAACTTGATGAAGTTATGTGCCAGGCAGGTGGGCCCCGGCCCCACCAGGCTCCTCGCTGAGCCTGCTGCAGGTGTGCAGAGGTAGCTTTCCCTCACTCTCACTTTTTTTTTTTAAACTTGTAGGGACAAGCACAGGACTGAAATGTAAAGTGTAGGGGGAGCCCTTGAAACTATTGCTATGGAATAAAAGATGAAATGCTCCTGATTATTGTAAATACAAAGTTGCATGCAGGATTGTGTAAAGACAATGCCAGGCTGGACTACCAGAATAAGCCAACAGCGTGTGATGTGCTTCCCCCTGCAGAGTCTATGAACGGAAGGGCAGGCAGGGATGTTTCACATCACCAAGATTCCTATCCCAGAAAAGCAGATGTTCATAGCTCTGAGAACGGAATGCGACCCTTGAGGAGAGCCTATAAACGGACGCATGAGGGGTGCATGTTCATATGGATAAGATAGGGCTATAAATGCCCTCATCTTGCCACAGCTCTTCTAGGCCTCTTTAGGGTTAAGGCATTCTCCCTTCTGAGAATTTCTGGTCTAACCTGTTGTCTAGCTTCACGTCCTGTTTCTATGGATTGTTTGTAACCAGCTTTTGCTGCAACTGTTACTGCTGATTAATATCTTGCTAATCACAGGTTATGGAAACACTGTGTTTCTGTTTTAAGGCTCTGTTAGAAATTACTGATGCACATACTATATTGTAAATTCTTATCTCTGTATATTGTACTTCTGCATACAGATGTTATGTTAAAGAATTGCTTCATCCCCATGTGACCATCTCACCTCATAATCAAATGACCCGAAATCCCTCACTAACCTACCCCCACCCTCACTAAACTTAATAACAAATGCTATATTTATATCCAGTGCATTGGTGGCATCGCAGGACCAGAAGGCGGTGACCCCCCGGACCCAGCTTTCACTATCTTGTGTGTGTCTATTCTTTCTCAACCTGCCAATCCTCCTGGGAACAAAGAGCCCCATTGCATTGCAGATTGCTGGCCAGATCCTGCAATAGTAAAGCCTAGGGAGGATTTACAGCCTCCCCAGTCAAAGATGTATTTACAAAAAATTCAAACACTTGCTCAGCTGCGGCCTGGATGTGATGGCATCTACACAAGATGACTTCCTGCAGCGGCACAAATGAAGCTGTGGGGGATCCCGACGAGCTAAAGCTTGGGTGTGGCACATGGGAGTGAATGTGTTTAAAGTTTTAAAAGTGGTTAAAAGGTGAAAAAAGAAAGGCTAGAAACCAAACCTCAGAAAAATCATGCATTTGAAAGTGACTGCTTTAGTTTTCAATCTGGTTTCAGTCTTGTAACCTCTATCTGTATCTCAGCCTGCATTGTGTTACTATGCTTTTTAAGCCACGGTTTCTTAAACTGAAAATGGGAGACTAATAACCACCTCACTTTTTTTTAAATAAAGGTAGAATCAGATTATGTTGCAAAGATGCTCAACCCAACCAGATACATCATAAGTGTCCAGTAAATGGAGTTCCTATTCACTTCCTTAGCAGCCCTGCATTCTGACCCCTTTCCTATTGCTCATCACAGGGTCTCCACAGCCTTGAGAATAAAAGGTTTTGCTCATTTGAGTCCTTCAGTAACCAGGTGAGAATCTAGTTTCAGGTTCTCTCAAATTGAGGGTTGTAGAAGACAGGCCAGATGGGACAAGAAACTGAAGAATCTGAGCTCGAGGGCTGAGAATCAGAGAGAAATGAATTCAGATGTGCCTGCATGCATCTGTGTGGGTCTGTGCACCTATGCTTGTGTGTGTGAGTGCAGGTGTGTGTGCGTGCTGTGTTAGGAGGAAGATGGCTAATTATGATTATGAAACTGGTGGTATTTTTGCTGATTATAACAATCAGAATTTTCAAATGGAAAGATAAAAGTAAAGCACAGAGCTGGTGGTGTCAAAGTCATAGGAATTTTAGTCACTTTATGGGAACTGGTTTCCACTTATGCCTATTTTCTACACAGGAAACCAACAATTAAGTGTATCATTAAAGGCCTGGGTAAAATTTAACGTGTTTGTATTTCCTGTTAATAATTATTTCAGACCTGCACATGCTGACTTCATCTTGGTTGGTTGTGGAGGCTGACTGACTGCTGGCTGCTGTGAAACATGAGGGTTACCAAGACCCTGAGAGCAGAGGGTGTGTGGTCCATTGTCAAAGAGCCAGGGGGACACGTGGGAGGGTCACTGCGGGAAGTGACTGCAGGCCATGCATGGTAATGCACAGGTATGACCAGCACAGAGGGACATGCCTCTAAGAAGGGTGCACTCTGGGGGCAGGGAAAGGACATAGATGAGAGAGTTTGAATGCTTTCTTGGTAAGTGCTTAATTAGATTGGTTCCCCACGGCAGCATTTTATGAACTGAAGTGCATAGACACTTCAAGGGGCTATAAGAGGGAAAATATTCCATGGGTTAGAGATGGAGAGAGGAGCATCTAGAATTTTGCAACTGAGCTTTAGTGAGCTCTGTTTCACATTTGGATGTCAAGGATTTTAGAAAAGCAGATGTCTGCCTCACTGCTGTCTGTTTAACTGAAGGTTTACACTTGTGCTCTGAGATTGTTACTAAAACAGAAAGAGGAAGGAGAAGAAGAGGAGGACGAGGGGGAAGGAGAGAGAATGAGTGAGGAAGGAAGGAAGAAAGGCAGGGAGGAAGAAAGGAGGAGAAGAAGAAAAAAACAAAATGTCTATTGCAGTTGTCTTAGGCATTTAGTGAATTGTCAGTTTTTTTGCTTGGTCGTTTTTTGTGGCCCTGTTTCTGTCACTACCTTGCCTTTGTCTCCATTTCTAACCCCATGTTCACCCCTTGGATTTAATGGTAGATCCAGCTTTTCTGGTTCTGGCCTTGGGTGCCTCCAGGGCATTATTTGCCCCTATTCTCTCTAGCTTTTCCTAATTCTGGCCTTTGATGCCTCCTGATATATGCCCCCATTCTCTCTAGCTTTTTCTGCTCTTGGCCTCTCAGCCAGGTCTGCAATAACCCCTGTGCACCATTAATGGTTTAGAGAAAGGCTCTCTCTCTGGGTGGATGCAGCCTGTAGGTGCCTGATTTGGCAAGCAGCACATAAGCTCGTCTCCATCCCACCCTGCAGCTGGGTGCTCTTGTGCCTGGCACAGCTCATACCTGCATATTGCTGCCTTGGAACAACCCATGCAGCCAGCTCAAAACTTCATCCCTGGACTCCATCTGGCCATTGTCCCTGCTAGATTAGAGCTTGAGTCAGACAGTTTAAATAATTTTGAGGAATTCTCTCATTTTTTAAACTGATCCTTGTGGTACTTTTATGGCAGACGTAAAGTAGGCACACAATAAGTGCTCAACAAATAATTAATAATCTGCCTGCCTGAAATGCATAACCTATTTAGGGCAGATGAGGAAATGAGGCATAGAGGGGTTGCTTGAGCAATACTATGCAGCAAAAAATGTTTTTGTTTATCAACAGAAGACGCACTTAGGCAACTGAGAAGAGCAGGAAACATGTGGGTACATGATTGTCTTTTTTCTAATGAGAAGGGAGTAATTCTTCCTTTTCTCAAACTTGACGCTGTTCTTTGAAGGCAGTATGTTATTCTTAGATTAACAACCATGACACTCATAGGATTAGACGTGCAACTTCATGGTGAAAGAACTTTGGTGGCAAGAACAGGGGTACAGAATGCAACATTTGAACCAAGCCCAACAGTAAACAGAAACTAAGAACTAAAGTGGTTTGCCCACACAAAGATTGAATTTGTGCCAAGGGTTTTTCCAGTTCTCAGAGGTGCTTAAGTGTAAACCCAGAAAGTTACCTGACATGCTCACGTCCCTGTGTCTCCGTGATATGCTGAGACTGCAAAGTTTTGGTCTGGTCTGCTGCCCCTTTTTTCCATAGAGCTCTAGGCATCTCTTGCTAGACATAAAGCTCAGGGGCTGTTGAATCAAAGGTGGTCAAATGTAACAATGTGAGGCATCCATTCTAGAAAGTTTTGAATTCTAATTGAGAGAGTCAGGATGTTTCTAAACTTTTTCTTTTTCTTTTCCCTTTAGTGATCATTAGGTTAAGCTGTGACTGATCACAAGTAAAGACCTGGTGAAAAAGTGAACTTCTTGTTTGGACTAACAAGTTCTCTCAAATTCACACTAATTGTACATCCAATTAGAGGAGTTGATTGAAAAATACCAGTTCATGTTTATGTTTATATTTTTAAAGAACTTAGACTTGTAATACATTTATAAAACCATAAAATGCTAGAAGGACATACATATCAAATGTATAATTGTGTTTGTCTCTGAGAAGAAGAGATTGGAATAAGAATGGATATGGAAGTCAAAGAAGTTCTCAATGCTGTATTTCTTAATTTTAAACCCACTTAGAGCAAATATGAAAAAATATTAACAGCCACAGATTCTGGGTAGGAAAGCACAAGTTGTAAAATATATTTTCTCTGTTCTTTTTTTTTTTTGACTAGATGTTTGTTTTAAAGTATTTTATTGCTATTAAAAGAAAACAAAATACAAAAGAATTGGATGGAAAAGCAAAGGCTAATCTCTTTATTTCAGCCACTAATAATTGTGGTAATCCTGGGTGTTAATCCTTGAAGTCTTCATGGCATTGCTGTTTATCTGGTGGAAACTTATGACGCTTAGAATAGGCTGAGTAACCTGTAATATCTTGTGTTTGACCCAGGACACCACAGTCCCAGGCACAAAGTGGTTAATTTTTTTCTTTTTTCCCATTAATGATCATTAGGTTAAGCTGTGACTGATAACAAGTGAAGACCTAGTAAAATAGTGAACTTCTTTGGTTGGACCAACGAGTTCTATCAAACTCACACAAATTGTATATCCAATTAAAGAAGTTGATTGAAAAATGCCAGTTCATGTTTATGTTTGTATTTAAAAAAATCTTAGACTTGTATATACATTTAAAAAACCATAAAATGCTAGAAGGACATACATATGAAATGTATGCATTAATGTATATTAAATGTATGTCCTTCTGGCATTTTATGGTTTTGTAAATGTATACACAAATCTAAGTGATGGCAATGACATTTGTTCAGACCCCTCCAATAAGGTATTTGTATAAAGGTACTGTAATTTTCATACTTACTATGATAAGGATAAGGTTAAGCGAGTCAAAGGTCACTTTATAAAAAATCTAGCTGCTTTTTTACAATAATTTAAAGCTCTCCTGGAAACACTATACAAGGTTTAAACAATGAGTATTTAAACAATGAGCCCCTCTATGATGGACTGGGAAGCACCATGTGTCAAGAGGAGCATGGCAATGCTATTAACCATAGAAGCATCAATAAAATATGTGTATGTTGCCAATGAGGACCACATTTGGGTTGGTTCGTTTCTCTAAGATATCTGTCTAGCCGATTCATTGTCTCAGGACATTTTGTTGCCCAGGATGCAGTTTTCTCTTTCAAATACACATCCCTGATTTTTACTGAGAATATCTTCCAATGATATTTTCTTTGTCAGAAATTTTGCAAATAAAAGTAGAAAGAAAAAAGGGATTTGTGGAGAGAGAGTTCCAAGATGGCAGGTGATGGAGTTTATGGTGGCATATGTGCCCCAAACAAAACGCAGGCCTGGGAAGGGCCTGGACAGCTTTTCCTGGAAATAGGAGACTGGGAATGGGAGGGAGTGTGGATTCAACATGGACCATCTTTTCCAGTCCTTACACCACTCTGACGTTAGTAACTCTAAAGCATTGCATACGTTTGCCTTCAGGGCTAGCTGAGGGGGCTTCTTTCCTCTCTCCTTCAAGAAAGGAGAGAGGGAAGAGGGTCTCTTGCTTCTCTACTCCTAGCTTCTTGCTGATGGGAAACTTCAGAGTTTCCCATGAGAATCTAATGCCTTATGATCTGTCACTGTCTCCCATCACCCCCAGATGGGATCATGTAGTTGCAGGAAAACAAACTCAAGGCTCCCACTGATCCTACATTATGGTTAGTTGTGTAATTTTTTCATTGTATATTACAATATATTAATAGTAGAAATAAAGTGCACAATAAATGTAATGGGCTTGAATCAGCCCCAAATCATAACTTTCCCTCTCCTCGGCCCATGGGAAAGTTGTTTTCCATGAAACTGGTCTCTGGTACCAAAAAGGCTGGGGACCACTGGTGTAAATGCTTCTAAGAATAGATAAGCAACTTAAGGTTTACAGGGTACTAAAAATATGGGTTTAAATGCTAATAAAACTGGATGCACATGAAAACACTCTCTTGCTGTGGTCCAGTGAATCTTGACCATTCTATCACAGAGACTTGCAGCTTTGAGTTGGAGCTGCCCCCTGGACCTCCTGTCCACAGCACACCCCTGCAACACACACACACATGCACATACATACATGTGCACATACCTGCACACATACACACACATGCTGTGCTTCATGCCCTCACTAAGGTGGCATGGGAGGGAATGAGTGTTTTTAAGAGAAATGAAGACAACTCAGGCTTCTTGTTCTCCTGGTGTTTGCACAAGTGCCTTCTCTGCAGACCATGCTTCAATCTCTTTCTTGGCTTTCCCTGTTAGTGAAAGAGACAAGCAGAGCCCCAGCATGTATCTGACTGCTTAGGGTCCAACCCAAGCTCACAAGCTTCCTGGGGAGCCTAGTGAGATGAAGGCACTGCAGAGCCTCCCAAAAAGAGGCATCAGCTTTTGGTGGAGACTTGAGCCCGGGAAGGTGGGACATCATGGTTCATCAAAGACACAACCAAAATCCAGTGAGGAATGGCAGCCATCAAAAGTTTTATTCTTCAAGAGAAGGAGTTCTCAGGGGCTGTGGGCAGCAGGCACAGAGCTCTTTAGTGCATGTGTGGGCAGGTGATGGTGACCTACAGTTTGCACTGGGAACTAAGATCAAGAGTGACCTGACCTCTGCTCATGCGCATCTCTCCCTGTCTCTCTCTCTACCTTTTATGTCTCTCTCCTTATCTCTCTCCCCACACTCCCTCTCAGCCTCCTCTGTCTCTGTCTCTCTCCCCATCTCTCTTTCTCTCTCTCACTCCTTTCTTCCCATGTCTCTTTCTCTCTCCTTCTCCACTTCTCTCTCCCTCCTCCTCTCCCTCTCTGCCACTGTTCAGGCTCCTGCCCACCCCTCCCTGCTGTGCAGAGAGGCACACGCAGGACTCCTAGGCTACCTTCCAGGGCACACGCACAAGGCTGCCGGGACTTGGTCCCAGTACAGTGCCCCCACCTCCCAGTGCCCTCAAGGTCAGGGGTGTGGGGTGTGCTTGTGCTCTCTTGGGTGGGCACCCCACTCTCCAGGAAGCAGAAGCTGCAGGTCACTGCTGGCTTGAGTGGCACGCCTATTGGACTGCTGGCTTCCATCCTGTGATCTGCCGAGGCCAAAACAGAGGACACCTGCCAAGGCCCCACCCTGCTCCAGGGTTGGGGTAGAGGTAGGGGTAGTGGTGGGGATGAGAGCAGCCACTGCAATCTGGTCCCTGCCCAGCATCCTGCCCTGCACCCTGCCATGCAAGGCCTCCTCTGCCACCCTTTCCCTGCCCCTCACCATCTTCACCCCTAGAAAGCCCCAGGCACAGGCTCCAGAAATCTCCCTGGATCCAGGAACTAAGAGCAACCACTGGGCTCCACAGCCCCTAGGCCAGGTGTCAGCCACACCCACTGCATGCTGACAAATCTTGGCTCTCACTTATGCCCCCCCGCAAGCCAGCCACACTCTGCCCCCACTCCCCCCACTTCCTGACTTTAGCCCTGACTGACAGTGCTGCCTCCTGGTAACCTTTCCCCCTCCCCACAAGGTCCAGGCAAGCCCAAATGCCAGCACCCGCCACCCACCCTTCCTGGGTGCCCCTCTATTGTCTGCTTGCCTAGATGTCTTAACCTCATTTTACCAAGCTAGAACAAATAACAGGGATGAGCCCCCAGCCTCTCCCAGGAAGATTTGGCAAAATGCTCTCCTTTTAGAAGCAGGAGCAGTGACAGGACCTAGGGATGACCCGAGGCTTGTCACCCAAGCAACAAGAAGGGCAAGGAGCCCAGTTTTATGACCTCACCTTGGGAGGACATGGCCAGGGCTCCACAAGGCCCTGTGGGGGGCTGGCAGGAGAACAGATCCACTCTCCTTTTGAGGAAGCAGGCCCCAACCCTAGGAAGCAGCAGATGGGGGCACACAGGCAGAGCTTCCGCAAGCTGTAGATCAGGGTCAGCAGATCTGCATTCAGCTTTAGCCCCAGGGGAGCTGCAAGACGTGAGACACTGATAGGTTTGGCTCTGTGTCCCCACCCAAATCTCATTTTGAGCTGTAATCCCCATGTGTCAAGGGAGGAACCTCATGGGAGGTGATTGTATTATAGGGGGCTGGGTTCCCCCATGCTGTTCCCCTGATAGTGAGTGAGTTCTCAGGAGAGCAGATGGTTTTAAAGCATGGCACTTCCTCGTTTTCTCACTCCCTCCTGCTGCCTTGTGAAGAAGATGCCCGCTTCCCCTTCGCCTTCCACCATGATTGCAAGCTTTCTGAACTGTGAGTCAATTCAACCTCTTTCCTTGATAAATTACCCAGTCTCAGGTATTTCTTCATAGCAGTGTGAAAACAAAACAAACTAAGACAGACCCCTTCTCTGAGGTGCCTTCTTCTGAGGCCACCAGCTGCCCCCATGCTCCTCCTCTGCCCCCTGGTCTTTCTTTTCCCCTCATGAGGCCCAAGTGATCTGCATGGCCAGCCCCAGCCCCATCCTACTGCAGGCCTGTCTAGCTGGTGGAGAGGCCGACCTCCTTTCCTGACCCTCAGGCTGGCTGATATGCTCTCTGGATCCTGGAGGAAACTGATTGTCTCTCCTCATACTGGTAGCAACTTCTTCCAAGACCACAAAGCTGGAAAACTGGTCTTTTTGTTGTCTCCGCTTGCTAGGGCTGTAGTTGGGACAGTACTAGAGGTGGGCCAATGGATGAATGGATGGATGAGTGGGACAGTAGTCCAGGGAGGATGTCCCTGTCTGTCCAGTTTGCATCGGCTCCTGTGCAGTCACATAGCTCCCTGCTAGCTGAGTTGAAATTAAAACCCATTCAGTCTGGCTTCTATATGGCTCATGGGGCCTGTGGACTGGTCTCTCCTTTTCCCTCCAGACCCCATCCCCATTAAGTCCATGAGCAAATCATGTAGGTGACATCCTCACAATGATCCTGAGGTGACTCTACTCACCATCTGCCTTCTCCCACCTAGTTTGAGCACCCTTCATTACTTACCTGGACCAGCCAGCTGGCCCCCCTCTCCTCCCTGCTGGTGTGGTGTGGCCTGTTAACACCTGAGCCGCAGCTGAACCCACTTCTGGCTAGGACCCTCTGCTGGCTCCCTGGCTGCTCTGAGTGACAGCTAGAGCCTTGCAACAGCCTCAGCCATTGAACCTGGGACTTCTGTCCCTGAGCTCTCTGCTGCTTGCCTCTGCTCACACCAGGACAGATGCAGGCTTCCCCTCTGGGCCTCAGGCATGCCGGTCATGCTCCTGCCTCAGGGCCTTTGCATGAGCCATTCCCACTGCCTGGAATGCTCTCTGCCAAGATATCTGCTTGGGTGACCCACCACCTCCTGCAAACATTGCTCGAACCTTGCCTCGTCAATGAGGACTACAACCCCGGCCACGCATCTAGAAGGCATCCAGCACAGAGTATGTGCTCAATACACAGACAAAGCAGGACAATACATGAGACAACTGTCCCTCTCCCAGGCCCCTGGGAAATGCTGGGATGGGGAAGATATTCAGATGTCAAGAGGAATAGGGCCCAGTGTCTTGATTCTCATTCCAGTGCTCTTCCTGTTCACAGGAGTGGCAGGGCTGCACATTTGGAGCAAAACTGAGATGAGTTTCAAGGGCCGCTGAGCATCTTACCCACCCACAGCCTTTCCCAGTGTTCTGGGAGATAAACAGCTGTCTCCTATATTGTCCTGGATCCCTGGAGGATGGGCCAGGCTTGGAGGTGGAAGAAGAGCTCAGTGGGGAGGGGGCCGAGAAGGGGCTGCCCAGAGGTGACACATCTGGAGTCCCCAAATCTGCATCAGGGCAGATGAGTAGAGCTGCACTCTCCCAACCTGCTCATGTTGGCCTTTTGTGATCTTTCATTTTGCCCCATCCGCGTTGCCCTTAGGTATTCATTGCTACCTGTTATCACTGGAATAAAAATGGCCATGGGCATTCTGCCCTTCCTCCACCTCCCTCTTCTCCATCCCTTCTTTCTTCATCTGTGTATTGAGCACATACCCTGTGCTGGGCCCCTTCTAGATGCATGGCCAGGGTTGTCCTCATTGATGAAGCAAGGTTTGAGCAAGGTTTGTAGGAGGTGATGGGTCAGCCAAGCAGTTTTCTAGGCAGAGAGCATTCCAGGCAGCGGGAATGGCTTGTGCAAAGGCCCTGAGGCAGGAGCATGATTGGCATGCCTGAGGCCCAGAGGGGAAGCCTGCATCTGGCCTGGTGTGAGCTAGGGGAGAGCAGGAGATAGCTCAGGGAGAGAAGGCCCAGGTTCAATGACCTGAGGCCACTGCAAGGCTTCAGCTCTCCCTTGGAGCAGCTGGGGAGCCATTGAGCAGAGCAAGAGCCAAACTGAACGGGTTCCAATTTCAGCTTAGCTATCAGGGAGCTATGTGACTGCACCAGGTCCAGGCGGACCCACCTGTACATGAGTGACAGCACCCACAGGGTCCAGAGCTCACATGTCCATGGGTCCAGCTCAGTGCCTGGCATGCCGAGAATACTTGGGAAATGCCAACTAAGGACTCTCACCTCAGGAGGGTCTCTTCTCATTTCCAAAGCTGTCTCTTGCTTTGGAATGCACGCAGACACTGGGCAAGTATATATGGAGCTTTTAATCTCTGCCTGACACCAGAGACACATCCACAGACTGACCGAGTTTCCTGCCCTTGTGCTGCACTCCCCTTGAGGAGACAGACGACGGTGACATGCAAGGAGCTAAGATGTCAGGACACTGAGCTGTGAACGAGGCAAGCAGGGGCTGAGGGATGGAGGAGACAGGGTGGTGGCAGGTGGGGGTGGCCGGGATGGCTGGAGCCTGGGACCAAGGTAGGTTCCTGCACTGCTCTGCGTGGGGACCTAGCTGGGCTCTGAGTCATGAGGGCAGACAGTGGCCAGGGTGAGGCTGGCACTGTGCATCCCCTTCCCCACTGCTGAAGATGCCGCCTAGGGTGGGCTCACAGTCTTTGGGGAGTTAAGAACCATCCTGATCCTAGAGAAGGTTATTTCTGGAAGCAAAAATCCAGGGTTTATGCTCCTGGGACAGGGGATCCCTGGAGCCTCTCATCCTCCCCATAGCCTTTGCATTGGGCAGTGAAGGCGTTTTCCTGTTGAGTCTGAGGAAGGGAGAAGTGGTGTCACTTGGGGTGTCAGCTTTCATCTCACTTAGTCCTCACGGGGGCCTGCAAAGTAAGGGTCACCATCGGCCCAATTTACAGATGAGGACACTGAGGTTCAGAGAAGTTACATGATTTGCCCAAAGTGACACAGCTACTAAGTGGCTGAATGGGATTGAATCCAGGTCTTTCTGAGACAGCCCAAGCTGTTGATGGAGCCCTCTGGCTCACGGATGAGCAGGTAAAGTGAAACAAACACTTTAGAAAGCTTACCTGAGGGTGAGGGGGCAGGCAATTGAGCCTTCTGTGGGGTCCGAAATGTTTACAGTTGTCTCTCTGCGTACGTCGGGAATCAGTTTCACCACCTCCCACAAATACCAAAATCCACAGATGCTCCAGTCTTGATATAAAATGGTACAGTATTTGCATATAACCTAAGCACATCTTCCCATATGCTTTAAATCATCTCTAGATTACTTACCTATGCAATCATGTGTCAGATAGCAACATTTCAGTCCGTGCCAGAATGCATATAGAATGGTGGTCCCATAAGGTTATAATGGAGCTGCCCTATACAGGTGTACCATCTCTAAAAATTGATATCTAAAAAGAGATGGGGTCTTTTTATGTTGCCCAGACTAGTCTAGAACTTCTGGGCTCAAGTGATCCTCCCGGCATGGTCTCTCAAAGTGCTGGGATTATAGGCATGAACCACTACATCTGGCCAGGTGTACCAATTTTTTTTTTTTTTTATCATTTATACTGTATTTTTATCATTCTTTTCTGTGTTTAGATACACAAATAGCCATCATTGTGTTACCACTACCTATGGTACTCAGTATGGTAACATGCTGCAGAGGTTTGGAGCCCAGGAGCAATCAGCTCTACCATTCAGCCAAGGTGTGTGTTTGGTTGCAACCTCTGAAGGAAGCTAAGGAGGAATGACCTAAAGACAGAAGGTGAGTCCGAGGTGGGATCCTGGGACAGGTACCAGAAGTTAAGCAAAAACAGGTGAAATCTGAATGAATTTCACCATATTAATATAGTGACAGCATTAATAACCTTAAATAATAGTTAACATTATTATTCAGTTAACAGGATTGCACCCATGTTAAATTCCTTAATTTTTTTTTTAAGAGAGAAAGTCTCATTCTGTCGCCCAGGCTGGAATGCAGTGGTGCGATCATAGCTCACTGCTTCCTGGATCTCTTGGGCTCAAGCGATCCTCCTGCTTCAGCCTCCTGATTAGGTGGGACTATAGGCACACGCCACCATGCCTGGCTCCTTATTTTTTTTTTTTTTTTTTTTTAACTTTTCTCCAGGGATAGGGTCTACCTATGTTGCCCAGGCTGGTCTCAAACTCCAGGACTCAAATGAACCTTAACCTCCTGCCTTGGCCTCTCAAACTGCTGGGATTACAGGTGTGAGCCACCACACCTGGCCTAAATTTCTTAATTTGGACAAATGTGCCATGGTAATGCAAAATGTCATTATTAGGGGCAGCTGGACGGAAGGTGTCGGAGTACACTATAATGCCTTTTCAGTTTTTCTATATATCTAAAATCATTTCAAAAGTAAACATTTATTTTAAAACATGGACGTGGTTATCCTTCCATGAGTGTAAAGTACAAAAGGCAGGCTCATGGTGTTGTCAGAAGTCAGAACACTGGTTGCAGGGCTGGGGGCGCAGAGGCTGGGTTGGCTTTGTGATCTGGGGGCTGATGTGTTCCATCTGTTAATGTCTTTAGAGCTGTGCACTTTCTTCATAAATTTTCATAAGTTTAACAAAAAAGTAAAACGAGGATGGGAAGCTTGTTTGGGTTGTGGGGCCTCGGGAGTGTACTGCTGCTTGTCCCTAGCTGTGAATGGGGTGCCCTGGTCGGAAGCAGTGCTGTGTGCACTGCAGGGCCGGCAAGTGCATGTCCACGTTGTGGCTCAGTGCAGTGAAAGCCAATCTCAGCCCCTTCCGCAGTGTGGTCAGCCTGCCAGTAGGTGGCCAGCTGGTCCTTCTGGGAAATGGTGCCATCCCAGGGGTTGGGTGTGAATCTGTTTTCCACAGACAAGGCGCTCAGCAGTGGTGTCAGCCTGGTGAGCCTTGGTAAGGGCATGTGCAGGATGCTGAGCCTCTCCCGTCCCCATGCCCGTCTCATGGCCACTTGCTCTGCGGGCCCATCCAGCAAGCATGGTGGCTGGGAAAGAAGCCGGCTCCATCCACAGGGCATGCTGTTTTGCCCACCTCAGGACCAAGAGTATTCTCTGTAGTAATTCTCTTTGGTGGGAGCACTGGGAACATGAACAACAGATACCTTCAGAGTCTGAGCTGCTGAGGTGAGGGCTGCAGGGTGCCCTGCTGTCAGGAGAGCCTGCACTGGCAGCTGGAAGGCACGTGGTGGTGGCACCTGCTGTGGCTGCAGCAGTGGCTGCAAGGCTTCGAGATCTCTCCCCGGTTCTGTAAGGTGAATTGTGACAATGCAGAGCTCTGCAGTGCCAGGGTCCCCTGCATGGTCATGCTGACTGCAGCTGGGAGCCCACCACAGCCCTGGTACCCCTCTCTTCCCAGGGCTGGGGTCTAGGCCAGGCCACTCTTGGCCTGGGTATTGTGCCCCAGGTCCATACTGCTGGCTGTCTGGGGCTGCAGGGATGCCGTGCTCACGTCTCTCTCTTGTGGCCTTGATGGGACCAGCTTCCCCATTGAATGGGATCTTCCAAGGTATCTGGGGCTGCGGGGAAGCTGGTGGGTGCCACCCTGGTTCCTTCCAGATACAGGTGCCCATGTTGCAGTGGGGGTATCTCCTGATCTCCTTCTTAGTCCTGATGGGCCTGGGCAGGGCCTGGTGTCGAGGTCCCCATGGGCTTCCTGGGCTAGGTCTGTCCCATGGTCCCAGGGCTGTCCAGGACACATTTGGAGGGGACACGGGCCCAACAGCCCTGTTCGAAATCATAATGGGGAAACCAAGGGCTCACCACGTCCGAGTCCATTGGGAGCTGAGGCAGGGAGTTCCACTGCAGGTACCTCCAGGAAACCCGAGGTCCTCCCTGAGCTGGGGCCAGTCTGGGCACACCCTGGGATAGCCCCACCAAGACAGGACAGGGTGTGAAAGGAAGAGGCACCCATGGCGGGGAAGCTGACCAAATGCACTGCTGGAAGTGGGCTTGTGGGCCTGGAGGAGCCTGCCTACTCCCCTTGCAGAGGGTCTTCCTGCCACACGGTGAAGCCAGCTCAGGCCTGGGTGCTGAGGACCCTTGCTTAGGTTTGGCTGAAAGGAAAACAGATATGGTCAGCATCTCCAGTGAGCCCATGCAGATCTTTCCGGGTCAGGCCCCACCTGCCTGGGTCTCTAGAGTCCTCAGGGTCTCTGTGTGGCCCCCGTGGCCTGACAGGACACGCCTGTAGGCTGCTGATCCCAGAGGGAGGGAGTGTGTGCCGCCTGGGGTGGGAAAGCTGTATGGGCATGGGAGGTGGCTCCTGGGACTGCCTTCTGGGACTGCCTCCCAGGGTTCAGGCTGGCTGGGGGCTTCCTGCCTTACCACCCTCATCCCAGGGCTGTTGGGCCTGGGATACAGTCCCTAGTCAGAACTCAGGTGGGAGGGGCCTTGGTTGTCACCCAGCCCCCTTGTCACCTCACATGGGGACCTATCTCCACAGTGGGTGAGAGGACCCGGACACAGGGCCCTTTCTGCCCTCCTGGGCTGCCCAGTCCATGCCGGGACTGACTGTTCCCACAGCTGGCTGAACTCTTGGCTCTGGCTCTGGGCCAGGGGTCCCACCCGTGCCCTCTCCCTGAATGCTCTGGGAGTCAGGGACACCAATTCCCTTGTCTCCCTGGCTCGAGACTTGTTTTTCTGGCACCCTTGGAAGGGTGTGCAGGAGTGAGGGTCCTCTGCTGCTCTCTGAGTCTGTCAGTGCTTGCAGGGAGGGGCGGGGGCTCCCCCAAATAGGCCTGGCTCTTCCAATGCCCTTGAGGGCCATTTGAGGGGGAGGGCAGGACAATGGAAAGTGGGAGGGGGTTTGTTGGAGGGTCTTGCCCACATCCCCCTCCTGTGTGCACAGCACTGAGTACCAGTACACACGCACTGAGCGCCTGCCCTGAGGACCGGTGGGCCTCCTGCACTTACTTAGCATCCAGGAGGAAGAGGAGGAAGAAAAGATGTAAGAGGAAGGCCCAGGTTTGGGGTCACAGGCACTCCCCCACTATTGACTGCCCCAGAAGGTGACTTGGTGGGGGGACTGGGTATTGGAGCCTTCCTGGGGGTGGCAGGTCCCCATGCTTCCTGGTAGTTTCCTTACAGAGCACAGAGGCCTGAAGGTGCCTAAGAACTGCATCACTGTCCAGGGCCCAGGTTTGGGGGAACTGGTCCTGAAAACGCGCCCACAGGCCAGACCTGGAAGCCTTCATGAGGTGCTCTAGGGACAGGGTGAGGATCAGGCCAGGAAAGTTCCCTGGGAGGCGTCAGAGCCGACACCCCATTGCCACCTCTGTCGTCTCCCACTGGGTGGTGCCGGATCATTTTGTGGCCACAACAGGGGTGCAGATGTGCACAGGAGGCTGTGGTTTGGGGGAGGCCTGGGCAGGGAAGTGCTTGCCACACTCCCGACTTTCATCTGGGTCACGTGCGGGATGGGCTCGGCATCACTGTGCCCTGCCCTGCTCACCAGGCCAGACCTTCTTCTGGGCTGGAGCAGAGAAACATGGGGACAGTGTGAGGAAGCTGCCCTTGGGCCAGTCGGGGTCTGACCCCAGAGCTTCCCAGGCCCCACTGGGCACACGTGGACTTACTCCTCTGAACCTTGAAGGCAGTGCGTGCCATTGGCATCAACACCTGTTCCTTTCTACCAAATACACCCTCCACAGGCTTAGGGTGAGCCCGAGAGAGATCTGTGGGGACACAGGTGTGGGAGGCCCTGGCTCGTCCAGGCTGGAGGCTGGTGGCTGGATCTGGGCCCACTGGGGCTTCAGTCCCCCAGAGTCAGTGACCCTCCCCATGAGGGTCATCTGACCCCTCCAGGAGGCTGGGTCTGGCTTCCCTGAGCCCTCCCAAGTTAGGTCCTGGGTCAGTCTATCCATGAGGCTGGGCCTGAGCCCTGGCCTCTGCTGGGGGATGACCCCTCTTGGGCAGAGGGCCTTGCTTGTGTGTCCTACAGGGACCTGCCTGAGCCTCCTGTGGGCTGGGGGTGAGCCAGACCCCTGGGCTGGGGAAGTAGAGCACTGCAGGGCAAGGAGGGTCCCTGAGCCACGGTCTCCCTGTGCCTCCTTATCCCATTGATCACCCTCTGTAGAAGCCAAGCTAATGAGGAACCTTGAGCACATAGCCCTTCCGTGTCCCGACAGGAGGAACAGAGGTGCTCAGGGCCCCCTAGCCTGCCCTAAAAACCTCCTTCTTCTAGGGCCCTCTGAAGACCCTTCCCCAAGTGCAGAGTACTGGGTGGTGTCCAGGGCTCCCCACAACACCTTCCCCCTTCCTGCATTCCCAGTGGACACACTGCCCTCAGCCCTGCTCTGCAGGAGCTGGGCCCCTGTCCCTGTGCCTCTGTCTCCTCCAGGGCAGGAAAGGAAACCCAACTCCCAGTACATGGAGAACCCCACGTCCCAGGTCAGGCCCTGGCTGGGACTCAGCCTCTCACCAGCCCCACGAGGGGCTCCAGCACCCCCGACTCCTCTGGCCCCATGGGATGCTGGGCCTCTAGGGAAGAGTCGAGGGGACCATAAACTCACCAAGTGCCTCATGGTCTTGGGGTGTGACGTGGGTACCACATGCTCCTGGTGGTCTTGGAGCCCCTGGACCCCTGTGCCATTTGGGCTGTGGAATCCTGAGAAGCCTCCAGCCCATCATGAAATCAGAGCCTGTTCCCAAGATGTGGAACTGTCGGCTGGAATTGCTGGGCAGCTGCAAAGGCCCATGAACACCGGGCCTCCCACCCTCCCACCTGGTGACCCCACCATGCGGCCTTGGCCCTGGGGAAGAGGGATGGGAACATCCTCTGGAGCCTGGCCGGAGGTGCTCCTGGAGGCCTCCTGGGCCCGGGTGCTAGGAAGGCAAGGCTGACTTTGAGGCCATGACAGAGGGCGGGAAGAACTGGGTGGGTGCTGGGTTTCGTGGTCGTCTCCTGGAAGTGGGGTCGGGCCAGGGTACATGGGAAGGGGAGATGCTGCCATCTGGGCTTCATCGACCCATCTGTGGGCACCAAGGGCAGCTGGAGCCTGGCCAGCAGGAGGGCAGGAGGACTCTCACGGAGGGGACAGTCAGTTGCACAGAATCAGAGCCAGAGGGTGTGGCTCCAGGCCACAGAGGGCAGCCACGGGGGGATAAGATGTCCTCTGTTGATGGAGATAAAAGGCGTCTCATTTGGGGCCTGGGGGTACCTGTGTAGCCCTGGGGGTATCCGTTCAGTCCTGGGCTTCTGTGGGGCCCTCAGCAGAGACATTCTAAAGGCTCCAGATAAGTTGGCGACACAGGAAGGTGCCTTCACTAAAAGTGGAGGTCACCTGGCCAGGGTGGCTGAGAAAAATCAGCCCGAGACGGGACAGGTGCCACCCAGGGTGGGTAGCCGGGCCCTGACAGGAGTCCCTCAGGGAGTGACCACATCACCCTGCTGAGGTTTAGGGATCCTGGCCTGAGACTTGCCTGGTGTACCCAGGGTGCATCCAGGGCCCATCCCACCCGACATTCCCAAGCCCTCACAGGGTCTGACCTCCCGGCATCCACCTGCCTCTCCCTGCACTCCAGCCACCCACCCTGCTTGTTCCCCAATTTCTGCCATCCTGTCAACCCAGAGATGGTGAATGTTTCCCCAGCCACCCTGGCCCTTCTTTGATCCTTGTCCTGTCAGAACCCCCGAGTGATACTCCCCAGATCTGTTCACATGCCTGCCTTGTCTGCTCTCTCATTGGGCTGCCGATGGCTGCTGGGGAGATGCCAAGGGTGACATGGGTGACCGAGGACCCCACAGATGGCCAGGATGGCTTCCCTGCCCCACCTCCAGCCTCACCTGGCTCTTGGAGCCCTTGGCTGTCAGCCCTCAGCCTCCTCCCAGACACTGCAGCAGCTGGGATTGGGGCGCCTGACTGTCCTCTCCCACTGTCCCGCCTGCCTTAAGTCAGTCTCCCCCATCACTTTCTGCACACCGTGCTGTCCAAGCCAACTGGAAGCAGAGTCTCTGGAAAGCCACGCAGAGCCTTGGGGACTGACCGGCTCCCTCTGCTGGGACTCTGCTGACGAGTCCCAGGTGAGTTGGTGTTTTTGGCTCCACCCCTTCTGTCATCCTCACCAGACCATCGGCTCCTTTGGGGTGCATTTCAGAAGTGGCACAGCCCATAAGCTCACTCCCACCCCACCTTCCCTGGGATCCTCTGTTTCTCTATCCTATGACCCCCGAGGGATCAGCTCCAGGCTGGGCTCCTACCTGGCCCCAGATTCCTTCCCAGCACCAGATCCAGGGCCTTTAGCCACAAGCTCTGCTGCTTCCCTGGTCTCACCGTGAGACGCCCAGAACATGGCCCTACCCATCTTCTCCCCCATTCCCCCAGGGCCACAGCCCTCATTCTCCCCATGCCCTTCCCCATGGGGAATGGGGAAGAAGACAGGCAGGTGGGCCCTCAGAGATCTGCCGGACAACTGCCCCCAGGCTGGGCCAAGCATCCCCTCACCCTGTGGCCACAACCCTTGGATCTCAGAAAGTGGACAGGGCCAGACCCTCAGGCTGCCCCCCTCCTCTTGTGCTAACTTGGAGACAGAACTGCTGAGAGCCCAGGGGCCTGACCTAGCCCTCTCTCCATTCCCACCCGCTCCCTAGATGAACCACGCTCCCTAGATGGGCCACGCACCTCTGGCCTAACAACGACCATGGGCTGGACCTGCAGGGGTGCCAGGGAGGAGTTCTGGCCCTGAAAAGGAGGTTGGCTGGAGCCAGGTAGACACATCTTGCCTCAGAAAGGCCTTTCTAAGGGCAAAACCCATCCCTGAGCTGAGATTGGTGCTTTAAGGGATGAGGACTCACTGCAGAATCCCAAGGCGATCAGTGCCTTTGTAGATGTCAGCATAGTGAGGCCCCATGTCCGCTGGCAGCCCAGCTGGGCATCCCTGCAACTCAGAGGGAGCCAGGGTGAGGGGTCCAAGATAAAGGGTGCATGTGTTGCTTCTCTGGCCAGATCCGGCTGCCCTACTCATGTGTGCAGCCAGTTCCTCATCACTCTCACTCCTGGGTCCCAGGGCCAGCATCAGAGCCTCTGTGGGTGCTCCCTAACTTCAGCCCTCCCCACCCAGCATGGTGGAGTGGAGAGGCAAAAAGTTGAGGGTTGAAGGCAGAGGACAGAGGGCAGTGAATGGTTAACGCCTGAGCCACAGCTGAGCCTTCCTCTACCCAGGACCCTCTGCTGGCTCTCCATCTCCTCTGAGTGACAGCTAGAGCCTTGCAACGGCCTCAGGTCATTGAACCTGGGCCTTCTTCTTCCCCTGAGCTGTCTGCCGCTCTCCCCTGCTCACACCAGACCAGACCAGATGCAGACTTCCCCTCTGGGCCTCAAGCATGCCAATCACGCTCCTGCCTCAGGGCCTTTGCAATTTTCTGTGGTTCTCTCAGAAAGCCAGACATAGAGGAGGGAAGATGGGCTTCAGAAACAGACAGATCTGGGTTCAAATCCAAGCTCTGCATTGTCTGGGTAAAGTAATTGATCACCATGAGCTCCAGTTTCTTCATGCACAAAATAAGGATATTAATACTTGTGTTGAGCTATCTTGAGCATTAACCAAGAAAACACGTATAAAGTGCTCACAGCAGGGCCTGGCATGAGGGAGGGACTGATAATGTGTCTCCTTTGCTAAGAGATCGTTAATTGGATGCATGGTTTAAATTAGTTCCATGTAAATATAATAAGCTTCTCTCATCAAACCAAATTTTTGTTGAGTTGCTTCTGGTGAATCTAGTGTCAGAGCCTGTCTTGTGAGTGCTTCTAAAGGAAACACTAGAAGCTGCTTGTGTAATATCATGAGATGAACACTAGAGGCTGCCAGAACAGACGACATGATTGCGTTTTTGATCTCTACATTCTGTTCTTTCTTGTACAGAAACTATTTTTTTTATTTATTAGAGACAGGGTCTCGCTCCATTGCCCAGGCTGGAGTGTAGTGGCTTGATCATGGCTCCTTGAGCTCAGTCACTGCAGCCTTGAGCTCTTAGGCTCAAGCCATCCTCCTGCCTCAGCCTTCTGAGTAGCTGGGACTACAGGCATGCACCACCACACCCAGCAAATTTTTTATTTTTTAATTTTTTGTAGAGGCAGGATCTTGTCAGCAAACTTCATTTAATAGGCAGTCAAGTTCCCCAATTAGGAAAACTAGGATTTTTTTTTTTTTTTGTAAAGCAGTATCTGCCACACACCAAAGTAAATTCCTGATGGATAGCAGCATTAAGTATAAAAAATACAACCATAAAATAGATGAAAATAAAGCAAATAGTTGTCTGATTTGGGGATGGAGGAGAACTTTTGAAACAAAACACTAGGAAAAAAAGATTTCCCTACATAGAAAGAAATTTCTGTGCGTAAAAATATAGACACAACTAAAAGAAAGTGATACACCCTGGGACAAATTTTGCAACATGTGTGAGTGACACAACGAAAAGTTAATATACCTGGCATAATAAAATAAGTTCATATAAGTAAGGTGGGAAAGATGGGTAGCTAATTAGAATGAGCAGATAATTTCTAAAAAGGAAATAACAGTGGCCTATAAAAATATGCAATGATAATTACTAAGTACAAATAAATACTATAATGAGACTTCATAATTGGCCTACCCAATTGACAAAGAGATTTTAAAAATAACAACTAATATTGGCGAAGGCACTGTGAAGTGAACACAAATGAGGACAATTTTTCTGGAGAGTAATTAAAAAAATAATTTCAACTTTTCTTTTGGATTCAGGGGGTATACGTGTAGGTTTGCTACCTGGGTATATATGCTGAGGTTTGTGGTACAATTGATCTCATCATCCAGATAGTGAGCATAGTAACCAATAGTTAGTTTTTCTACCCTTGCTCCTCTCCTTCCCTTTCCCCTCTCATAGTCTCCAGTGTCTATTGTTGCCATATTTACGTCCATGTGAATTCACTGTTTAGCTCCCACTTGTAAGTGAGAACACATGGTATTTAGCTTTCTGTTCTTGTATTAATTCACTTAGGATAATGGCCTCCAGCTGCATCCATGTTGCTGCAAATGACATGATTTTTTTTTTTATGGCCAGGTAGTATTCCATGGTGTATGTGTGCCACATTTTCCTTACATAGTCCACTGCTGATGGGCATTTAGGCTGATTCTATGTCTTTGCTATTGTGAATAGTGCTGCAATGAACATATAAGTGGATGTGTGTTTTTTTGGTAGAACGATTTATTTTCTTTTGGATGTATACCCAGTGATATAATTTGGATCTGTGTTCCTGCCCAAATCTCATGTTCAGTTGTTAATTCCCAGCGTTGCAGGTGGGTCCTGGTGGGAGGTGATTGGATCACAGGGGTGATTTCTGATGAATGGTTTAGCACTAGCCCCCTTGGTTGTGATAGTGAGTGAGTTCTTGTGAGATCTGGTCATTTAAAAGTGTGTAGCATCTCCCCACTCTCTCTCTTCCTCCTGCCCTGGCCATGTGAAGTGCCAGCTACCCTTTGCCTGCTGCCATGATTGTAAGTTTTCTGAGGCCTCCCCAGAACCTGAGAAGATGCCTGCATCATGCTTCCTGTATAGCTTATGAAACTGTGAGCCAATTAATCCTCTTTTCTTTCTAAATTACCCAGTCTCAGGCATTTCTTCATAGTAGTGCAAGAACAGACTAATACACCCAGTAATGGGATTGCTGGGTTGAATGGTAGTTCTATTTGAAGTTCTTTGAGAAATCTCTAAACTGCGTTCCACAGTGGCTGAACTAATTTACATTCCCACCAACAGTGTATAAGCGGTCCCTTTTCTCTACACCCTCACCAACATCTGTTGTTTTTTGACTTTTTAATAATTGCCATTCTGACTGGTGTGAGATGGTATCTTACTGTGGTTTTGATTTGCATTTCTCTGATGATTAATGATGTGGAGCATTTTTTCACATGTTTGTTGACCACTCGCATGTCTTCTTTTGAGAAGTGTCTGTTCATGTCTTTTGCCCACTTTTTAACAGGGTCATTTGTTTTTTCCTTGTTGAATTGTTTAAGTTTTTCATAGATTCTGGATATTAGATCTTTTTTGGATGCATAGTTTGTGGATATTTTCTTCCATTCTATAGGTTATCTGTTTACTCTGTTGATAGTTTCTTTTACTGTGCTGAAGCTCTTTCATTTAAATAGATCCCACTTGTCAATTTTTGTTTTTGTTGCATTTGTTTTTGAGAACTTAGTAATGCATTTTTTCCCAAGACTAGTGTTCAGAATGATGTTTCCTAGTTTTTCTTCTAGGATTCTTATAGTTTGAGGCCTTACATTTAAATCTTTAATCCATCTTGAGTTAATTTTTCTATATGGTGAAATACAGAGGTTGTTTAATTCTTCTGCATATGGCTAGCCAGTTATCCCAGCACCATTTATTGAATCGGGAGTCCTTTCCCCAATGCTTATTTTTGTTAACTTTGTCAAAGATCAGGTGGCTGTAGGTGAGCAGCTTTATTTCCGGATTCTCTATTCTGTTCCATTGTATATGTCTGTTTTTGTACCAGTACCATGCTGTTTTGGTTACTGTAGCTTTACACTATAGTTTGAAATTGGGTAACGTGATACCTTCCACTTTGTTCTTTCTGCTTAGGATTGCATTGGCTCTTTGGGATCTTTTCTGGTTCCATATGAAATTTAGAATAGTTTTTTCAAATTCTGTTAAAAATGATGTTGGTAGTTTGATAGTGTTGATTCTGGAGCCATGTTGCAACAGATACTGTATACTTACATCATTTTATATATATCTTGATATATCCCTGTCGTAAACTCTTAGAATATAAATTATTGGATCAATTAGTTTTTGCATTGGTAATTTTGATGGATATTGCCATAAAGGTTGTACCAATTTACACTCCCATCAGCAATGTGTGAGACTATCTGTCTCTTCACTCCTTATTACATAATGTGTTATCAAAATATATGACCTTGCAAATCTGGTAACAGATAGGATTTTGGAATTGTTTTAATCTGCTTTTCTGTTATTGTGAATGCAACTAAGCAATATTTCATATGCTCAAATGCTATTCATATTCCCTCTTCCATGAATTATCTTTTCATCTCCATTGTCAATTTTTCTACTCGGTTGCTGGTCTTTCTCTTTGATTGATGGAAATCCTTTGTTAAATAGAAAATGAAAGCAAGCTTTGTCTATGAGTTACTTGTATTGTTCCCAGGTTTTCATTTGCCTTTGACACTGTATTCAAATAATAATAATAATAAAATGTTTACATTATAAATTTCATACCTACACACTGCAAATTTCTAAAAAATACAAAAAAGAGAAGAAAATAAAAATCATTTATCATGCCACAATAAATACATTTACTGCTAATACTTTAGTTTTCCTTTTAGTGTTTTTTCAAATATCTGCATGTAAATATTTATATTAATGTAGATAAGTATCCATAAAGATATATACATATATAAATATATAATAACATATATTAGTTACAAATTTCAAAATTCATGTTCTAAGATATGTTAAAAATATATAACTTTATTTTCCTCTGAGACTGTTTAAACTTATTTCAAACCCTCATTCCACCTTATGGGGGAAAAAAATAAAAGTCAGTTCTATGTAAACACAGAAATCATTCAGGATTTCTCCCTCCCAACCTTCATCTGGAGGAGGTGTCTGAGCTTTGAGGGGTGTTATGTTTGAATCAAATGGAAATTTCATAGCCTTCAAGAGGCTGGCAACAGGTTCATGGTGGGAATTTGCTGAAATATACATGGTTCTCTCTTACTCTTGGCCCTATCATCCCTCTCATGGCATCAACCAAGATATTAGAGTTCTTTTAGTCCACAAAAGAACTACATCCTCTACGTCTACATCCTCTCATTACCCCATCCAGGCGGCTAGATGGACCTGGTCATCTGACCACCCACTCTCCTGCATTGCAAAAGTCTACTTTGAATTGTATAAGCTAAGCATTGACCTAAGTCATTCTCTCTGCATTTCTACAGTAATAACCCTACCCTGGGGGCAGTAAATATAAAAAGTCCCTACTGCTGCCCAATTTGTGTGGAAAGACCAACAGTGAAATAAATTGCAGAAGAAAAATAACACCACCATGAGGACTTCAAGTCCTCATCATGACATGTACATTTACACAATTGAAATCATAGTGTATAATTTGAGTTGCACACTGAATGTTGTACTTAATCTGAGTAAATGCTCATGAGTATATGAATTGTTAAATATAAAAGTATGATAATTTATATTTTCAAGTTGTTCAAACAACCAAGTGTTCAATATGTATACATTTATATTTACTCATTTAATCAAAACAGCTCTACGACACTGCTACTATTATTATCCTAATTTCTGTTTTATAGATGAAGAAATTCAGGTACACAGGGGTTAAGTAATTATGGGAGCAGCGAGGGGGTGGGTGAGAGGCAGGAGAACTGAATGGTGAGACATTGGAAGATGAGGAAGACTTTCTACTCTTTTGTACCTTTTATCCTGGGAATGCTTGACCTCTTATTAAAATAAATAAATATGTAAAAGGATGTGTCGGCCGGGTGCAGTGGCTCACGCCTGTAATCCCAGCACTTCGGGAGGCCGAGGCGGGCAGATCACTTGAGGTCAGGAGATCCAGACCAGCCTGTGCGACATGGCGAAACCCTGTCTCTACTAAAAATACAGCAATTAGCTGGGCTTGTTGGTGCGTGCCTGTAATCCCAGGTACTTGGGAGGCTAAGTCAGGAGCATCGTTTGAGCCCAGGAGGCGGAAGTTGCCATGAGCCAAGATCAAGCTACTGCGCTCCAGCCTGGGCAGCAGAGTGAGACTCCATCTCAAAAAAACAAACAAACAAACAAAAAAGGACACGTCTGCCATAGACATTGCTGTATTATACTCACTCAGAGGTGCCCATCTGTGGATGTGGTATGGTGGAAGAAACAGTGGACCAGGAGGGAGAACATCTGGGCCATGGGTCCAATCTACCACGGATGTGTCATCTCTGGGCCTTGGTATCATCTTCTGTAAAACACAAGTGCTTGGCAGTGATGGTCATGATAGGATTAGATTATATCAGTGTTTCCTAATGTAACCCAAGTTACCTGAGAAAGTTTAAAATATATAGCTTCTCAAGCTCTCATAAGCACACATTCTGATTTATCATAAGGACTGGAATACAGTTTGGGAATCTGTATTTTTCAAAAGGCCCCCTTTTAGGCAATTCTGATATAAAACCCTGGACCAGATGATGTTTCAGGGGTTCCTCCCAGCTCTAAAATTCCATATCCTGTGAAGTATTGAGTATCATATCAGATCCAAGTAACTCATTCATCATTTACCCTCCCGACTCCCACCCTGTCCTTAGTTCTTCTAGCCCTTCTTAGAGGCTGTCTTACTTCTAGCCCATCTTACAAAGAAAGGGAAATGAAAAGGGAAGGACTAGATCCCTTGATCCAGATCCTTACTCCCATCCCTCCTTCCATTCCCACCCCACCCCTATCTTCTGTCCTCTACCCCTACTAGATGTTGTATTCCAGCTCCAGGGCTGCCATGGGCACTCCAAGAGGAGAACAAGGTACCAAAGTCCAAGAAAGAGACAGAAATTTTGACCCATCTCAAAATTTACACATGGACCTGAACCATCTGTAGATTTTAGACTCCTTGCAAAGGCATTTTATTCCTTGGGATGACACTCTGGGTATTTTGTATTCTAATTTCTCCTTCTGCCAGATGGTCTATAAGGTTCGAACTCTTAAAAAAAGTGCGTTACATTCCCATTTTAATGTAGCATTTTGGATATTTACTGATCTCCTTCCTGCTTTCTTCTTTCTTTTCTTCTTTCCTTTCTTCCTCCCCTTCTCCTCTTCTTCCTCCTCCTGCATCTCTTCCTTCCCCGGTCAAGGAAAGGCCTGGGGCTGGAGTGGGGGTGGGTAGAGGGTTCTGATCTCAGTTCTTCCCACCTATTTAGAGAGAAGTGCGAATATTCAGCTCACCTTGCCGCCGAGACAGACCATGCCTTACCAGCTTCTTGCAGCTTTACGATGAGTCTCTCTCGGTTTCACAGGGCAGTTATTACTCATGACTGATGCTCACCGGCCAAGCCTAAACGTGTGGCACACTCCCCATACCACACACAGACACAAACATTTGCCTGGCTCACATGAACCGGGATGAGGATGCCATTTCCACCTGGGAGGAGCCACGTGACCAGGCGTTCTCAGTAGCCTCCACTGGTGTCAGGGGGAACAGAGCATTCGGCTGTTGCCGGTCTGCCTTTCCAGGACTAGCATCCATGGAAGATGGGGTCCATCGCCAACCTGCGAAGATGTGGAAGGCAAGCCCCTCATTCCAGAGCCAGAAGCTGTGGCCGGCTTCCCCTTCCCATCTCCAACCTGGGCTAATGACAGCTGGCAGATGCTTGGCCATGATGACAGGTCTTTTCGAAGATGTATTTTTACCCTCTGGATAAACAGCAGTTGGCAGGAGTGGGGCGTTTTTATGAGTTGAGGTACTCAGGACTGGAAAATAAACAGCCAGTTAATGAGCCGGTCTTATGGAAACTTGCATAAATAATAACAAAGAAAACATCCCGTCCCTCATGCCTGGGTGAGGGGATATAAAAGCTGCCATCCAGATGGCTGGCCACCGTCAGTCGTGGGGAACTCCGGCTGCGTTACCGACCTGCGAGCTGACGGGCCCGGACCATGGGGTGCTGCCCGGGGGACTGCTTCACCTGCTGCACCCAGGAGCAAAACTGCTGTGAAGAGTGCTGCTGTCAGCCGGGCTGCTGTGGCTGCTGCGGCTCCTGCTGTGGCTGTGGGGGCTCTGGCTGCGGGGGCTCTGGCTGCGGGGGCAGCTGCTGCGGATCGTCTTGCTGTGGATCTGGCTGCGGAGGCTGTGGAGGCTGCGGAGGCTGCGGGGGTGGCTGCTGTGGATCCAGTTGCTGTGGGTCCAGTTGCTGCGGCTCCGGGTGCTGTGGGCCTGTGTGCTGCCAGCCCACACCTATATGCGACACAAAATGAAGACCTTTCCCTCCACCACTGATGCAGTCCCACCGAAAGCCTCCATCTGCTCCAGGGGGACAGCCCCTCGTGTCCAGAACCTTCCATACCCCCAAGACAGTGTCTTGTCTTTCTGTGATTTGTAGAGGAGGGCTTGTTCTCCAACACCTTCTCTGGTATTTCAAGGCACCGAGAACAAGAGCCATACTCTGATGAAACATTAAAACTCGGTCACAACTAAGTGATCCCAAGCTCAAGGGTGAATCCCCAATACTTTACTTATTCACATGAAGTTCAATGTCTTGTACTATAAGACATCCTCTTCTTCAAGGTGTCTTTGGGACTGATCCTCCGCCCTGGCTTTCTGCAGCTTTGAGATGCAAAAAAGGTCCATCTTCTTTGTGAGCCTCTTAATAAATTTGAGCATGCTGGCATAACCTAATTAGTTCTCTTGCCTCTTCCTTGACCTCCCTGCTGAGGACTGGGTTAGAAAAATTCACTCTGGCATCTGCCTTAGGGTTTTTGAATTGTGGTTTTTGGATCACCTGCGTCGGAATCACCTGGGAGCTTGTTAAAACTGGAGACTCTGAGGCCCTCCCTAAGACATACAGAATCAGAATCCACCAAAGTGTGGCCTGGGAATCTGTGTTTTTAACAAGAACCTTAGATAATTCTTATGCACTGAAGTTTGAGAACCATAGATCTAGACGGAAGCTTCCGTGTGCTGCATGAGATTCACTTGAAAAGCTTTTAAAAATATAGATCATTGGGTTTTATCACTGGAGATTTTACCCGTTAGCTCTAGGGCCTAGAGTCCCTAGGGACCTGCATTTTTAAAAGCTCCTGGGTGAATGCTGATGCTGGCCACATTTAATGGTGATTGAGGGGCATGGCTTTCTTCTGCACTACAGCTCTCCTAGGATGGTTCTGCAGGAGGGCTTCAGGCTTGATCAGAACTTTCTGGCAAAGTCGGAAAGGAGGCTTTGGTAAAACAAGATTGGTTCTGAATGGAAAGGATTTCTAATGGCAAAGCTAGTGAATTCACAGTTTCTGAGGATGTTCTGCGCAGTACAGTTCCTTCTTCCAGCCTCATGCTTGGTCCAGTCTCACTTTTCTGTGCTAGGTTGTCTTACCTGGAACCAGCTACGTTTCTTCTGCCTGAGTTCTAAGGAGGAGGGAGTGAGTATACCTCTGCTAGGTAGGGCCCAGCCAAGGTGTGTGGGTCCACCTGGGAGGTTAAAACTCAAAAGACAGTTGATCAACCTTTTGTTGAAAGTGACCTTAAGCTGTGTGTGTAATAAAACTAATTTTGCTCTTGCCCTGGAAAAATAGTATTTATTTTTATGCCTACAAAGCGATGTTTCATTTGACAAAGAAAAATTTTTTTCTGATTATAAGCATAGCAATGAACTCTAAAAAATGAAAAAATACAGAAACATATAAAGAATATAGCATTCGAAGGCTCACCACTCAGAGTCTATTACTGATAAGCTTTCCAGACTGTTTTCTAAGCATAGTTATGAATAAAACTGGGATTATGTTGCTTTTACCTTTTTCTTTAAAAAATTTTTTTGTTTCATTTTTTATGGTCAACTTTATTGAAATATAATTTACATATAATAAAAAGTTCCCATTTTTAGTGAACAGTATGATGTGATCTGACATTCGTGTATACTTATGTAACCACCACTGCACTCAAGATCTTTATGGAACTTTCCATCACCCCCAAAATTCCCAGTTTGTCTTTGCAGTCAGTTCTTCCCCCACCCCCAGACCCTGGCAACCATCAACCTGTTCTTTATGTTACTACAGATTTCACCATGTCTAGAATTTCATATAAAAGAAATCATGCAGTATGCACTATTTTTCATTTTGCCTATCATGTTTTGTATCTGTTCATTGTTGCAGGTATCAATAATTCATTTTTTTTTCTACTGAATGGCATCCCATTATACAGATAAACTACATTAAAAATATATTCACCTACTTATGGGCATTTGGATTCTTTTGTGTTTCTGGCTATTATGAATGAAGCTGCTATGAGCATTCTCGTACAATTTTTTTTTTTTGGTGAACATATGCTTTGTTTTGGATAAATACTTAGCAATTGGATGGCTGTTTAAATGGTAAGTGAATGCTTAACCTTATGTGAAACTGCCGAGTTGTTTTGCAAAGTGGCCACAGCATTTTGTATTCCAACCAGCAATGTCTGAGAGTTCCAGTGTCTATGTCCTTGGTAACACTTAATATTATCAGTCTTTTTATTTCTAGCCATTCCAGCAGGTGTATAGTGGTAGCTCATTGTGTTTTCATTTTTTTCTTTCATTTATGAACCCAGCAGTATTATTAATGTCTTCTTTTGGAGAGAACCTGAGATTTGACTCTGCCTTGGTTCAGTTTCGGACTCTACTATTTGAGCCATTTTCACTCTGGCTGGAACTGGCTTCCTAGGAACTGGCTCTTTAACCCCTAAGACAAAGCCACCGCCAAAGCAGGAGCTGCCAATGGGACACACTTGTCCAGAGACCAGTGAATCTGCACTGAGTAGTTGTGATTCAGAGCAGCTGATTATTCTATTGCGCACGGTCATGCCTCCTGGATGCATGTGTGGCGGTAGTGATTTTTGAATTACTGATACAGGCTTGCCCTTCTTAGCTATCCACAGAGGTTCTCATTTATTCACTCAATAAATGCTAATCGTGTGCCTCCAATGTATCAGCTGCTGCTCTGGATGCTGGGTATGCATCTGTGAATAGACAAGGTCCTTGCCCTCATGGTGCTTATATGAGGTCAAGGGGTGATAAGAGCCATAAAGAAGAATAAAGTAGAAATGGGCTACATAGTTGAATGACCTGCCTTTTCATTTAGCAGGGAAGGATTCTTCGAAGAGATGACATTCCAGCACAATGGATGAGTTTCTTGGCTGAGAGAGTTTATGAGAAATTTGTTTGTGGGGCGGACTTCCATTCACTGCTGGTTTAGCTGAGGAAGAGAAGTGAATGGAAAAGAGAAGGGTCTCAGCATCTCCTCTGTGTTTGCCTCTGCAGGCCTGTCCAAAAGTCTTCTTTGCCCACTGCTTGAGAGCCACATTTAAAAGAATGGCACTCCCTGTTCCTAATCCTCCATTTTCAACTACCATGACCCGTCTCTCAGGTCTCTGAACCTGCCCAATTCAGGTTGTTGCCATGAAACTTCTAAGTGATTGCCACAGACCCCTAATGGTCTCCCTGCCTTCAGACTTGCCCTCAACCTCCCTTCTCCACATCCAGAGAGAGGGGACACATCCTTCTGAAAGGGCAACCCTGATCAAGTTACTCTCCTGCTTAAACCCTCATTATCATTAAAAAAATACAACTTCTTAATCATGGTCCACAAGACCTTTCATGATTGGGTGCCTAGTAACCCCTCTAGCCCCACTGCTTTTCCCTCCTATCCCCTCTGCTTTTCATCCTGGATATGTTGAACCATTTGCTGCTTCCCAAATGTTATGTGCTCTATGTCTTTGATTTCCACATCTTATCCTTTTCCTGCCTTTATGACCCCCTTTTTGTCCACTCTCTTTGAGCCTTCATATTACTTGAAAAGGCTTCTCTAATTCCCCAAAAACCATGTCCTTTTAAAAATTTTCCTTTGGGACAGAGTCTCGCTCTGTCACCCATAGTGCCATCTTGGCTCACTGCAACCTCTGCCTCCCGGGTTCAAGCAATTCTCCTGCCTCAGCCTCCCAAGTGCAGCTGGAATTACAGGCACATGTCAGCATGCCCAGCTAATTTTTGTATTTTTAGTAGGGACAGGGTTTCTCCATGTTGGCCCGGCTTGTCTCGAACTCCTGACCTCAAGTGATACACTCACCTCAGCCTCTCAAAGTGTTGGGATTACAGGTGTGAGCCACCATGCCCAGCCTCCAAAAACCATGTCAATATCTCTCCTGGGTGCCTCCAAAGTGAGGGCCTCGGGGAGCTGTCACAGTCAGGCAGTGACCTCTCAGCACTCACAGGAAGCATGGCCACCTCTACCATGTCTGGCAGATGCTGTTCTAGGAAATGCCTCTCCATACCAGCTATCTCTCTCTGCTGCATCCACCCCCTGCATCCCTCTTTCACAACACTTGCATTCTGTACCATACTTGCTTATAGATGTGTCTATCTCTCTTCTAAACTTGGGCTCCTTGTGGCCAGAATTACAACTCACTCTTTTTGTATCTATCACACAGAACCCAGTGTTGGCTGAGTTGAGTGCATAAATAAAAGAGAAACTGAGTCAATGATTGCATGAATTAATAAATGAAGGGAGGGATGAATGGATGGCACAATGGATGGCAGAATGGCTCAGCTTTTCCAAGCGAGAGCCTGCCTTTTGTGTTGATGAAAACACATGGTGGAGGCAAACTAGGCCCTTCACTGAGCAAGATGTTAAGTCCTGGAATTCAGAAACCTAGGATTCATTTCTCCCTTCATCTGTCTCAAGAGTAGCAAAGACGAGTCTTTTGTTCACAAAGTCTTTGAGAGACACACCTGAGAAGTCTCTTGTTTTTACTATTTACCCTTTGGGTCTTGGAGATTTTTTTTTTTTAAAGGAACTGTCAAAATCATTAAAAGCAAGGAAGACCCTGGAGGTCTAATGAATGCTTGAGGAAGAGCAGAAAGGCTGGGTCACATGATTTCCAGGAACAGGTCAAGCCAATGTTCTATGTTCATGGGATAGCATGGAGGACAGCGGTGGGCTAAGCTGGCGATATGTGACTTTGATGAAGTCTTCTGAGAAAGGTAGGTCTAGACAGGTTGGTGAGAAGGAGGGACAGCCGCCTTAGATCAGGGACAGACTGTGTGTGATCTTTAGCAAGTGACTGAAACTTTCTGACCCTCTGCCCCCATTTCTTCATTTCTTTCTCTTTCTTTCTTTCTTTTCTTTCTTTCTTTCTTTCTTTCTTTCTTTCTTTCTTTCCTTCTTTCTTTCTTTCTTTCCTTTCTTTCTTTCTTTCTTTCTTTCTTTCTTTCTTTCTTTCTTTCTTCTTTTCTTTCTTCTTTCTTTCTTTTCTTTCTTTATTTCCTTCTTTCTTCCTTCCTTCCTTCTTTCCTTCTTTCCTTCCTTCATTCCTTCCTTCCTTCTTTCCTTCCTTCCTTCCTTTTTTTTCTTTTTCTTTTTTTGACAGAGTCTTCCTCTGTCACCCAGGCAGGAGTGCAGTGGCTTGATCTTGGCTCACTGCAACCTCCACCTCCCAGGTTCAAGTGATTCTCCTGCCTTAGCCTCCCAAGCATTTGGGATTACAGGTGTGTGCCACCATGCCTGGCTATTTTTTATATTTTTAGTGGAGATGGGTTTTTGCCATGTTGGCCAATCTGGTCTCGAACTTCTGACTTCAGGTGATCTGCCTGCCTCAGCCTCCCAAAGTGCTGGGATTACAGGCGTGAGCCATGGTTCCTGGACCATTTATTCATTTCTAATGGTGGAGAAAAATCTCTGCCTCATGAGATTGCTGGTGGTTTTAAGCAAGATCATTGCTGTAAGGTGCAGTCATTTAAAATCCAGCCCAGTTGTTCTTTTCCCAACTGAGTTCATCACCTCTCCTCTCAATTAATCTCTGTATGTCTATTGTTGAACTTATTATTGTATTGCAGTGAGTTTGTCTGCATGCTTATCTGCCCACTAGAAGGCGAGATCCAAGAGAATGGGTGAATAGGTCTTATTCCTGTGGCATCCTCTGAATCCAACCCAGGGCCCTGTATGGAAGACTAGAAGGTGGATAAATCATAAGTTTCATTCTTCTTTCCCTGTTCACAATGCTCAGAAATATAGATTATCCAGTTTGGAGGTGAGGATGCTTCTTCCAAGACTACCTGTAGCTCTGAGGATTCCAAATTTAGCACATCAATAAATAAACACCTTCTTTACGGGTAGATAAACAGCTTCCAGATCAACAAACGGTGGTATAATAAGATGTTCCTCTGCAAACTGGCCCAAACAACAATGAGGAAAAGATGCAGGAGTCCCAAACAGAACACGCCAGTGAGGGGGTATAAAAGTGAGGGCCTCAGGGAGCTGTCACAGTGAGGCAGCAACCTCTCAGCACTCAGCACAAGGAAGCACGGCCACCTCCACCATGTCTGGCAGTTGCTCTTCTAGGAAATGCTTCTCCGTGCCAGCCACCTCTCTCTGCTCCACTGAGGTGAGCTGTGGAGGCCCCATCTGCCTGCCCAGTTCCTGCCAGAGCCAGACATGGCAGCTGGTGACTTGTCAAGACAGCTGTGGATCATCCAGCTGTGGGCCACAGTGCCGTCAGCCCTCCTGTCCTGTGAGTAGCTGTGCCCAACCCCTGTGCTGTGATCCTGTCATTTGTGAGCCTTCTTGCTCCGTGAGCAGCGGCTGCCAACCCGTGTGCTGTGAGGCCACCACCTGTGAGCCTTCTTGCTCTGTGAGCAACTGCTACCAACCTGTGTGCTTCGAGGCCACCATCTGTGAGCCTTCTTGCTCAGTGAGCAACTGCTGCCAACCTGTGTGCTTTGAGGCCACCGTTTGTGAGCCTTCTTGTTCCGTGAGCAGCTGTGCTCAACCTGTGTGCTGTGAGCCTGCTATTTGTGAGCCTTCTTGCTCCGTGAGCAGCTGCTGCCAGCCTGTAGGCTCTGAAGCCACTTCCTGCCAACCAGTCCTCTGTGTGCCCACTTCCTGCCAGCCTGTCCTCTGCAAATCCAGCTGCTGCCAGCCAGTTGTCTGTGAGCCCAGCTGCTGTTCAGCTGTCTGCACCCTGCCTAGTTCCTGCCAACCTGTGGTCTGTGAGCCTTCCTGCTGTCAGCCGGTGTGCCCGACACCTACCTGCTCTGTGACCAGTAGCTGCCAGGCTGTCTGCTGTGACCCCAGCCCTTGTGAGCCAAGTTGCTCAGAGTCTAGCATCTGCCAGCCAGCTACGTGTGTGGCTCTGGTCTGTGAGCCAGTTTGCCTCCGCCCTGTCTGCTGTGTTCAGAGCTCGTGCGAGCCACCTTCTGTCCCCAGCACTTGCCAAGAGCCTTCTTGTTGTGTCTCCAGTATCTGCCAACCCATCTGCTCTGAGCCCAGCCCCTGCTCACCAGCTGTCTGTGTGTCCAGTCCATGCCAACCTACTTGCTATGTAGTCAAGCGCTGTCCTTCTGTCTGCCCTGAGCCAGTTTCCTGCCCATCTACCTCCTGCCGACCTCTTTCCTGCAGTCCAGGGTCTTCTGCATCTGCCATCTGCCGACCAACTTGTCCTAGGACTTTCTACATACCCAGTTCCAGCAAACGGCCTTGCAGTGCTACGATTTCCTACCGCCCGGTCTCCCGTCCGATCTGCCGCCCAATCTGCTCTGGACTCCTCACCTATAGGCAGCCATACATGACATCCATCTCCTACCGTCCTGCCTGCTATCGCCCATGCTACTCCATCCTGCGCCGCCCAGCCTGTGTCACTTCCTACTCTTGCCGCCCAGTCTACTTCCGCCCATCTTGCACTGAGTCTGACTCTTGCAAACGGGATTGCAAAAAATCCACTTCCAGCCAACTGGATTGTGTTGACACAACCCCCTGCAAGGTGGATGTCTCAGAAGAGGCTCCCTGCCAGCCCACTGAAGCCAAACCCATCAGCCCAACCACCCGTGAGGCCGCAGCAGCTCAGCCTGCTGCCAGCAAGCCTGCCAACTGCTAAATTGGCTTCAGCCCCCCAATTCTTGCAAGTCAAGCCACCAGCTAGAGACAAAACTGCACTGTCCTCCCCAAAGCTCATTATGACTTAGCTAGGAGCTCTTTCTTTCTGCATTGTTACTCACAATCGGCTTACCCCTCAAAGAACTCATCAGAAATGTCAGTATCCTGATCACTTAAATGAAGGCCTTCTGGACAGTGAGAGGGAGACATTCCAGGTTCTTGTCTTCTGCTACGATTAAGCTGAGAAGAGCTGCTTTGCCACATCATCTCGGGTCTCTTTCCTGCATGTAGTTTTTTCTGTCATCATGTATGTGCTCCCTTGCTATGCATGCTTGTGTTCCTTAGGGACTTCTCCAATCAGGTAAAATATGTAACTGTCCAATAAAGGTGGCTAAGCTGAAGCAACTTGCTGTTCTCCTTGCTCTTCCATTAATGCCATAGTCTCATCAGTGACTTGCTTCTTCTTTAACAGCAGCTCCATTCAACCATCCATCCACCCACCCATCCCTCTGGCATTATTAGACAGCAGCTAGGTGCCAGGGACTGTGTTTAGCTCTAAGAATAAACATAAGAAGTCTCAGTCTTTGTTCT